>NC_000013.11:84827413-84980253 GCF_000001405.40 Homo sapiens | reverse complement strand
CACCTGGTTGTTTAAAAGTGTGTAGCACCTCTCCCTGCTCTCTCTTCCTCCTACTCCAGCACTGTAAGACATGCTTCCTTCCTCTTTGCCTTCCACCATGATTTTAAGTTTCTTGAGACCTCACCAGCCATGCTGCCTGTACGGCCTGCAGAACTGTGAGTCAGTTAAAACCAATTTTTTTAAAAATAAATTACCCAATTTCAGGTAGTTCTTTATAGCAATCTGAGAACATACTAATACAAAAGCCAAGCACAGAAATGCAAATATTTCATGTCCTCACTTACATGTGAGAGCTAAAAATATGGTGTATCCATGAAGACAGAGAGTAGATTTGTAGTTACAAGAAGCCAGGAAGAAATAGTGGGGAGGAAGGAATGAAGACAGGTTCACTAATTGGCATAAATATACAGTTAAATAAAAGAAATAAGACCTAGTGTCCAATAGATCAGGAGGGGGACTATAGTTAACATTAACTGTACATTTCAAAACAGCTAGGAGAGAATAATTTGATGTTTTTAGTGTTAAGAAAAGTATTTAAAGTGATGAATAACCCAATACTCTGATTTGACTATAAGAATGTATGAAATTATCACACGTGCCCCCAAAATGTTTATCCATTACATATCAATTAAAATATTTAAAAAGTAAAAAACTGATTAAAATCTGAACCCCCAAGTTAAAAAACATTTTTTAAATTTTTATGGCACAAAGAATATGTAATGATCTCATCTAATACATATTTCTAATCCATTGAGTTTTATAAATAACTATTTAGATCTTTTGCAAGTACAGAAAATAATTAAACAATCTATTAATGTAAATAAGTGTTTTAGTTATCTTGACCATTTTCTCTTTTTAAAAAATTAAATTCACTATGTAAAATTTTATGTGGATGGAAAGAAAATATATTCTGTCCATATATTCCAGCATGTATGTGTTTTCCTTTAAAAGTAGTCTCATTATTATTCAAAATATTTGTTAGAAATAAAACAGCATTATAGATTCAATAGTCTAGGTAAACTTACAGTGAATTGTCCTCATATTTCCAAAAAAACACTCTTTGTTATTATCTTCTAGAAGAGAGCAAACATTTCAATTTATATTTTTATTGTTTGTGTAGTTTCTTAGCATCAGCACATGGGCTCTAGCTCAAATTAAAACTGAACTGAATGAACTATTTTATTGAAAGTTCATTGTAATTTAATGTAGCAACATGAGTTGAGGAAGTAGGCAATTAAGATGATGAATGGTTTGGGTGTTTTTTTTTAACTGGAAGAAACACTGAAATTTAAATTTAGTCATTTTTCTCATTTTCTATTTCTGTAAACTGGGGAATAAAATTATTCTATTGCTCAACTAAGATCATACAGGTAGTTTTTGTAATATTTCTGATTATGACCAACGTTTTCTGACTTTATTCAATGCTTTGTTTTATTATAGTTTTTAAGAAGCGTTGTTCACATTTTACCAGGGAGAAGAACACATTCTTCAAATGAAATCCAGAAAGCAAACATCCATTGTCAGTATCAAAGTGCTGGTATGTGGCCAAACAGGGACTTATTTTTAAAGGAGAAATAAAATAAAATTAAGCTCTGACAGTTTTCTAGAGTTTGCTTCTATTCTTTGAATGGAGGAACAAAACTGAATATTGACCTATTTCTATCATGTCCAAAATTCCCCTTATATCTAATTGTCAATCATTATTCTCAATGCCAGAAATGTGCCAAAGATTTCAGCCATTCATGTATCACTGCACCAGAAGACATATATTTTAAGTCATGCATTAAATTTGATATCTCAGACCTCTAATCTTAAATCTCTTTTGTACTTTGCTGCCTGTGAGTGGCAGGGTTAATTGGCTCACTCTCTTGTATAAGACTACTTTACTGTAGTCAAATGATGGATTTCTGAAATTGTCAAGCTGACAAATTAGCTCTCATTATTATTATTTTTTACCTTCCCATAGGTCTGGAAGGTATTCCTTAACATCCATAAAAAGGTGCATAAGCCTCTTTGTAAGAACATCAGTATGGTGGGTGCCTCTAAGAATCTAAAGTTATAACCTACTTGAGATATCTTGAATTAGAATATATCAAAATAACTTAAAATTTTGACTGTATATGGGGTATTAAAATAATCATCTGAACACTCAAAATATATCAGTATTAATGTTATTTAACCCTCTTCATATATGTACAAACCAGATTCTATTCTATTATGCACATCATGTTTACTAAATTCAGTCTATATGAAGAGACACATATATTAAATTCTGTTCCTCCCACAATTTTTAGATTTGTGTAGCCATTTCACTGAAAATTAGAAAAAGCATAAACATCTTTGGTGAGCAATGACAAAAAAAGCATCTAAGGATTGAAAAAACAAACCAAATGAAATCCAGAAAGCAAACATCCCAAACCTTCAAATCCTTATCTTTTACTTTAGATGGTATAAAAATAATCTTAACACTTTACTGAGATTGTCCTCAACATTTATATGCACTGTTTAGGAAAGTGACTTAGGGGAACGTGGTCACGTGCATTTCTTCATATTGTGAACTTTTAACTATGATATCTTACTTTGTAATATGATACTTTCCTATCCAATATCGATAAAGTAATAATGATAATTTAAATTCACTGGGCAATATCTATCTGCCTGATATTATTCAATGGTTTAGAATATTATCAGGCATATATATATATATGTATCTCTCTCAGACACACACACACAAACACATAGAGAGAGAGAATCATTTAATCTTCACAACAACCCTAAGGGGAGGCTACTTTTGTTGTTCCAGTTTGCAATGGCTAAACTTGCAAACAAAATAAATATAGGCATTGTGATTTTAGATGACATGTTATGAAAAGCTGTGGTTAATGCAAGGTCAAACAAGTGGTTTACATTAACCTTGCTAATAATTGACTTCAACTACTAAAATAATTTCTCTGAAGCAAATCATTTTAATTAGCAGAAATATCATAAAATGTTTTAAGTGCTATTTTAATTTTCAAAATAATTTTAATAAACATTGTTAATTATTTTGCAAACGTAAGTACAATGATACAGTAAATTGTGTCAGTGAGATTCTGTAAATATTTATAAAATGTTATAGAATTATTACTTATAAACAGCTAAATGTTACATACATAGTCTTTTTTAATGAGATGGAAGCGTTACCTGGATTAGGTCACTTACATCAATTAATTGTAGATGGAATCATTCAATAGCTGGAATTGAGTATTGTTTTGTTGTCGTTGTTGTTGTTGTATTATATTTTGAGGCAGGGTCTTACTCTGTTGCCCAGGCTGGAGTGCTATGGTACAATCATGGCTCACTGAAGCCTCAGCCTTCCAGGCTCAAGAGATCCTCCTACCTCAGCCTCCGGAGTACATGGGACTACAGGTGTGCACCACCATGTCTAGCTAATTTTTTTTTTTTTTCGTAGAGACAAGGTCTCACTGTGTTTCTCAGGCTGGTCTCCAATTCCTGGGCTCAAGCCATTCCCCTGCCTAATCCACCCAAAATGCTGGGATTATAGGCATGAGCCACCATGCTTAGCCTGAGTATGTTAACATTATTGAACAGCAACACTGCAAAGCTTTGGGAAAAACATTTATCATTTTGGGATAGCAGTTCCCTTGTTTATAAAATTAGGTGGTTGATATAAATTACATTAAATGATTTTCACCTCTAAATGTCCTTGTATTTTTAAATTAATCATGCAATGAAGACATTTAAGAAATAATCAATGGTCATAGCAACAAATTTCAATTCTGATCTCTAAAATTAAACTTATTTTTTTTACTTCAAAAGCCATTGCCAACTATACATTATTCCTTTTTTCATGTTCATATAAAAATTATTTAAATAAAATATTTTCATGACACAATAAAGTTTTGAATATTATTAAATAATGCAGAAAGATATATTCACATTTCAATCAGCATGTTATTTAAATCTTTAAAGATTTAGATTGATATATCCTTAGAAATAGGAATTTTATTTCCTGTTTTTACTCAGAGCTTTTAAAGGTATTGCTTTAGTTCTTTTCTTGCTTGTTTTATTTTGATTATTTCTCATTTTTTTACATTGTTGGCTGTTTTTTTCTCAGTTCTTAATTTTTTAAAATATTAATTTAATGCTGAAAGACAAGTATATTCCAAAAATAAATATTTTGTTTTTGTATATCAAGTGGCTGATCTTATGATAAATTATAAGAATAAACAATCCTGGGTAGTTTTTATGCTAAACTCCCCTTCTTTGATCTTTACACACCTTGCATTAATTTAGTTGGAAAAATTGTACATTTTTCTACATAGTTCCCCTTTCTTCTACTTTTTAAAAAGGAAGAAATCGTTTATCAGTATAATATTTGTTTTTTATTTGTATTGTTTTAAAAATGTTTTTGATACCAAACCAATTATATTTCATTTGTAGTAAAGCCAAAAACATAATTAAATCATCAGGATTTTAGCCTCCTGATTTCTCTGGTGCATGGTATTTTCTTCTGCTTTTAAATACTAAATGAAGGGACAATTGTTCAATATTTGAGGTAAAATCTTTTACTCCAAAGAACATTAATTCAAGAAACAGGTTTTTGCTCTCAGCTTCTTATGGAATGAGAGCAATGGTGTGGGAAATAAAAGAGAGAGAGAAAGAAATGATTTACCACTCTTATAAAACATTGTATTTGACAGTTGAACCTTAATTTTGGAGTGAAAAGAAAGATTCTCAAACATCCTCAATTGTTATGTTACTAAGCACACATTCAGACCATAAATTGAGTCATCACATCATTTAAAGTAGACTAAAAGAAGCTGCTTGTACTAGCTAACAAAAATTGGTTGTAAATTTCTCCCCTTGTATATATTCAATGATAGCAAATTGCTAGATTAAAATGGGCTGTGATGATTATATACACAACATGGAATGATGAAAATAAGTAAAAATTATAAATTAAGTCTCATTATTTTGAGAGTCACTCTCCCCCTTGGACACCAATGCATTATACCTACTTCCACAAATCTTTAAATAAAGAACGAATAGTTTTAAAAAAGCATTAAGATCAGGAAGTGAAAAAAGTGAAGTAGGTTTAATAATTTATACTTTAAATATAGACTCAAAAATATAAGTAAAAGCATAAAATAAGGACACTTATTGACCTTAAAGGCAGTGTATATTTCTTTTTGTATTTCTGTAGTTAGATCTACAATATAATTTGAAATTTTCCCAGGGTATTTTGCAGCTTATTCTTTAACTATCCTTTGAAGTTCACAAAAAAGAACAGAGGATTACTTAATAAATGGCAGTGCAGTTTTAACCTGAAGAATAATAAGATATCCTGTTAACTTACGCATTGAGGAAATACAACCTTGGAACTCGTGATTTAATCAAATCATTAATTAAGCCGAGTAAGTTAAAACCCAGCATGTAGAAAATGTGTTCTTCTTGACTGAAGAATAAAATAAATGAATTACTTGAGGGATTTTCACTTTAGAATCAGTCCTTTTGAATGAAAGCATAAATCCAGATTAAAGTGTGTGGGTTTGATCATTACCACTGTTTCATTTTCTGAACACTGGAACTTACAGCACTAGACTACATAACTACTTTTGGGAATTGACCATGTTTGTAACATCTCAGGAAATAACTTGAGACTTCAGATTTCCTTTCACGATATAGAGACTTGGATACAGTGTCACTCTCCAAGAAAAATAAAAATAAAAATAAAAATAAAACAATATTAGCCCTCCGATTTCACCCTTTCCTTTAACCTACAGAGAATCTACGGAATCAAGTGCATTAATGGAGGGACAGGATTTAGGTACTTGCTTAGATGGAGCAGATGCAGCCAGACACTCTATATAAAGAATCTCTTTAGGAGAGTTAACAAATTGGTAGAGTTCAAGCATCGGCTGATGAGAAAGTATAAAGCCCCAAGATCTGCAGATTATAGAGGTAATTTTTATCCTATTTTAATCCTTATTCTTCCATCAGACATGACCAAAACAAAATAAAACAAACAAAAAGGGTAGAAATGGTCCTGAAAAAGCATCCTCAAGGAGTAGGTCAGAAGGACAGAAACAGCAGACATGTGAGAGACGCAAAATCCCCAGGCTGAAACATTCTCCCCTATTTCCTGTGTATAACAAAAGCCTTAATCTGCTGGAGGAATCGCAACAAATACTTTATGTTACTCGCAACAACCCATTGCAGTTAGAAGAAGGAAACAGAAAATCCTCTAGCACAGGAAGAAAAACAGAAAAAATGCTGGGCCCAGGAGTGGAGCTAGGAAAGGGGAAAGTACACTGAAGCTATAGTCCAGAGACACAGGGACAAAGCACTTACCTAAAACTGTGGCTAGGAAAGCTAGAGAATGCACCAGTCTCTGCTACCTAGCACCAGGCTCAAAAGCACAATGCACTAGGAGCACTCTTGTGAATAGCCACTACACCACTGCCCACCAGCACTCCAGCCTGGGCAACAAAGAGATCCCATCTCTCCCCATTCCACCCCAGAAAAAGCACTGGATTCAACAATCATGGAACTTTGCAGAAACATTTTCAAGAAAATAGAGACAGATGCACACTGAGGTCTAGAGCAAAGAGGAAGCATAAATATATAGCATTAAGAAAGTCCTCTGGCAAACAAGCTCACATTCTAACATAAGATAATGCTAGAATAATTTAAAATCTGTGCTGCCCCAAGGGTAAAGAGAACAACAAATATCAAATACAAGCCACTTCTTGAAAAAATTAACTCAAACTACTGCAATAAAGAGCTATTAGAAGTAAGGGTGTACTAATTTTTGGCATTAAATGGATTTACCTTGTTCCGTACTTTCCTACACAGGATATCCAGCTTTCAATAAAAAATTCCAAGGTATATGAGAAGGTAAGAAAGAACAACATTGTGCTAAGTGACAAAACAATCACAAATCAGACTTAAATATGACATAAATTCTGAAATTGACCCGATTGTCCTATAGATTGACTGTTTTTTAAATATAAACATAGAAATTGACCCTTTTGATCTTAAAAAGCTTGAAATTTATATTTGTTTCATCTAAGTTTCTTCCTCAGGAAATGACCTTTAGGCCTCTCACAAAAAATATCAAAGAACTGAAACCAGCTCGCCACACCAGGTGTCACCAAATATAGGACCACTCATTCACCATGATTCCTTCTGTGCCTCTCCCAAGTTCCTGTTTTCTTACACATTGTTACATTTCTTGCCTGCTATATAAACCCTTGGTTTTAGTCAGTCAGGGATATGGATTTGAGACGGAGCTCCCATCTCCTCAGCTGGCAGCGCCCTATTAAAGCCTTCTTCCTTGGCAATACTTGGCACCTCAGTGATTGGCTCTCTGTGCAGCAAGCAGCAGGACTGAGTCCGGAATCCCTGGTGTTTTAGTAACAATACTGTAAGTATATGGTAAGGAATTTAAGATAACGGTGTTATTTTAAATCTAACATTAAATATAACGTTAAAAACTCTAATGAAAAAAGTGGACAATAAGCAAGATTAGATAGGTAATTTTATCAGAGAGATAGTAACTTTAAGAAAAGGATCAAATGGAAATGCTAGACATGAAACATAATAAAAGAGATGAAACACTTTCAGAGGCTCATTAGTAAACAATACAACTGAGAAGACAGTCATCTAGAAGATAAAACAACAAACATTTACCTAATCAAGATGGGTAGGGGATGGGAAGAAAGAGTGAGAGAGAAATACATATAAAAATAATTTTTAAAGTTCAAAACATCAGTGCATTCCAGAGCTGTGAGATAATATCAAACCAAATGTTTATTACCAGGAAAATTTTGATGTTCGAAATTGTGAGATATTCATTCAAGGAATATGATATGGTATAAAATGAACAAATAATCAACTTATTCAACAAGCTGGATGGATCTCAAATTTGATACAAAATGATATACGACCTTACACATGTTAGAACGGCTATTAACAAAAAGATAAATGATAACAAATATTGACAAGAATGTGCTTAAAGGGGAACCTTGTTGCACTGTTGGTGTGAATGTAAATTATTACAGTCATTTTTAAAAACAGTATGGAGGGCCCTCAAAAAATTTTAACTAAAACCACCATAAGACCCAGTAATCTCACTTACGGATATACATCCAAAGAAAATAAAATCAATGTGTCAAAGAGAAATCTTTATTCCCACATATATTGCCCCATTATTCACAGTAGCAAAAATATGGAATCAACCTTTGCCCATCAACAAATAAAAGAATGATAAAATGTGGTATGTATACACAATGAAATACTATATAGCCCCAAAAAGAAAATTCTGTCATCTGCAACAACATAGATGAACCTGGAGGACATTATTCTAAGTAAAATAAGGTCAGCACAATAAGACAAATACTGCTTGATCTCACTTATATGTGACATGTAAAATTTGAACCTATAGAAGCAGAGAATAGAATGGTGTTTACAGAGGCTGGAGGGAGGTGTGGGATAGAGAAAGGAGAAATGTTGCTGAAAGGGTACAAAGCTCCAGTGACACAGGAGGAAGAAGTTTTAGGGATGTATTCCTCAACATGGTGAGCATAGTTAATAATATCATATATTTCAAAATTACTGAAAGAGTAGATTTTGAGGATTTCCACCAACAAAAAAATGTATTTAGGTGAGGTTATAAATATATTCATTATATTGACTTAATTTTTCTACAATATGTGTATGTGTGTATGTATGTATATTTCAAAACCTCACATTGTAGCCCATAAATATATACCATTGTTATATGTATCAAAACATCACACTGTACTTCACATACAATTATTTGTCAATGAAAAATTTTAAATATATATTTATCTTCAGTTAAAGAAGTCAGAACTATGCCTTTGTATTCCTAAACTTATCTTTAAATATATTTTAATTTTATTAAATAACATGAAAAATGCATGATAAATCTGAGATTGATAAAAAATTTATAGTTCAAACTTCCTGCTTAATATGTTATTCATAGTAATAATAATAATGATACTAAATAAAATTCTTACATAATTCTAAGTATAGTGATTCTTCCAAGGTACAAAGGGAATTACAAAAGAAATTTTGTGGTTTATTTGGCTATTTATTTGTTATTTCTTGAGTTTTTGGTATGTGGCAGGGATCAAGCCAGTTGTATGAACGTTGTGGTAAACTGACATATGTCATTATACAGAGACCAGCCAGGAAAGTTCGAGTGGCTTAAAATCTAGTGACAGAAATTTGTGTTCAAATACTAAGAAAATACATGATAATTGGTATTACATGTTGCAAATGAAGAAAATATCATGTGCTGAATTGTAGATAAGTACAGCGAGACGGGATATTTGCAAGCTTGAAGAAACCTTGAGTAATATGAAATCTATGGTGTTCTTTGAAAGGTGTATAAGGTAAAATGCTTGGTTGAAAAGATAATAGGAATAGAAGCTTTATAATGTAACAAATGTACGCATTGAATACACAGAGAAATAATTTGCTGCAGGAGAGATGTCTTGTTGTAGTTGAAAATAAATTATAGAAAATAGAATTAGCTATAGAGAAAACTGTAAAGCTAGTAAAACTGTTTGAACTTAATATTTTGTAGAGCCAATTTTTGGACAGATAATCAGAGGAATTATTAACTTAAATAAAGCTACTACAAGATATGCATATTAGACTGAAGAAAAGAGACCTACAGGGGAACACTTTAGGTAGTGGGCAAATTGCAGTATCTAAAAAAAATCATTGTGAATACACACCCACCAGAATGGTGGCATAAAATAGATTGTCTCTTTAATTATTTTGGGGAAATCAATTTATTTACATGTATGATAAATTAACTATAGCAAATAATATTTTCTTTTATGGCTATAGACAAAAAATTGCCTATAGATTTGGATACACTTACCATATTGCCAACAGTAAACACTGAGTAATCTGGTCTCATGCCTCTTTTTATAGATTACCTTCATTTTGAATACAAAGCTTATCCACAATCTACCGATTGTTTAATGAGGACATAGTTTTACTAACCCTCAAATATTCCCTAAAATGTTAATTTTATAAAAATTAATATTGACAAAGCAAAAGATTACAGGAGAAAAAATAACTCATATATCTATATTCTCTCCCAAAGTTTGCTTTATTCATAATGATGTATACAATGTTAAAGTTTCTAGATTGGCCCTTTAATATCATCTTTCTTAATTTTGAACAGTGACCAATAGATACATTTGAATACAGAAACAGCTAAAATTTGACATAAAGATAAAACAAGAGCATATATATTAATATCAAAATCTAACAAAGATGTCTTAACATTTTTTATTTTTCATATAGGTTTTATTCTTAGTTATCTGATTGCACTTTTAGTGAAACATCTGTTTAACGTGAAATCCATTTAAGATACTGGCATACACAGGACGATTTTAATAAAATCTATTAGTACTCAGCAACATGGAAGGTATTAAATTTTACTGTGTTACGTGAGACAAGCCAGGCACAGAAGGACAAATATTGCCTGTTCGTGCTCACATGAGGGAGCTAAAAAAGTGAATCTCCTGGAGGTAGAGAAGAAGGGTGGTTAGTAGAGGCTGGGAAGGGAAGGAAGGAAGGAGGATGAAGAGAAGTTGGTTAAGAGGTACAAAAATACAGTCAAATAGAAAGCTATAGTATTTGATAATATATACTATCTAATAGATCTTATCTAATAGATTAAGTTACAGTATTTGATAGTACAGAAAAGAAATTGTAGCTAACAATAATTTATTGTATATTTTGAAACAGCTAGAAGAAGATCTATAATGTTCCCAACACAAAGAAAAGATACATGTTTGTGGTTATAGATATCCCAATTGTCCTGATTTGATCATTACACAATGTATATGGGTATCAAAATATCACATGTACCTCCAAAATATGTACAATTATTATATATGTACAATTATACTATTATATATTATATATGTACAATTATATGTACAAATATATGTACCTCCAAAATATGTGCAATTATTATATATTATTTAAAATTTTTGACAGTTTATCACCAAATGTTATCCAATTTGACAGATATTTCCCAGTTGTATAATAGACTACATTCTAGACATAAATTTCCACTTACTGTCCTAAATTTTTAAAGATAATTAGATATTTACTGAAAACCTCATTTTCCGGCTGGGTTCTCTATACTACTTTTTACAGCCTCAGGTTGAATACCATTTACTTGAACCATGTGTGCTTGCTTAACTACTTCAAACAATAAAATGGTGTAAAGAAGACTGATCCATAATTTTTCATTCTAGTGAAACATTTCCAAGTGTCAAATTTAAAGAAGAAAACAATCACCTGTTAAATTGTAGAACTAACTTTTGAAAAACATCATAGAAAACTATGGCCACAAGCAAAGCACTGTGCCCTGTAGTCCTGTTGACAATAGCTATTAAATCAAGACTATTCGATCACTGAATATTTAATTTGCCTTGGGAGGATATTTGACTTTATGTGTTTAAATTTTGATTTGAATTTGTTACACAAAAATTTTCTTGGGTGATTCTGAGAACAGTTTCAATAATCTAAAATAGACATAGAATTTTATGGTATTTTAATTGTAATTATAATAATTTTAAAATGCAAGACAGGATATACACAGATATTTATTCATGTAATATATTAAGGCCTACTGAAATATGAATGAAGGTAAAATCTTTCAACAAACATGCCAATGTTAGCGTTGGCATAGTGTTATGAATTCATCACTTTATTTTTTTGACAGCATTATAAACTTCTCTTTTTAGTGTTATTTTGTATGAAATATCTTAACATATCTGCAAACAATAAGAGGAATAAGCTCACATTTCCTAGTAATATACATATACTGATACCCCTTTGTATGTGGCCATTAAAAATGTAAGTTAGCCTTTTCTTCCTGCATCTTGCAGCAATCTAACAGAATAATTTTAAACAAGGAGTTTCCTTATTCCCTTGTCAGAAATTAGAAGTAATCAATTCAAGGCTGGTATAGTGGCTTCTCTGACCCCATGTCTGTTCTCTAGTCGTATATTTCATATAGCTCTGTTTCTCTGTCACTCATCATATGTATGTTAGTTTCTTCAAGCTCACGAGATAACTGCTGTGTTTTAGTCACCATGCCCTCATGATCAGCAAATAGAAAGGAGGAGGAGCAAAAAGCCAACGACACAATGTATATTCCAATCGTCTTTCATGAAAAAAAAAAAAAAGATTTTTGGTAGTATATCCAGTAATCTTCCATTCACGTGGTATTGTTGGAACTTCCATGAACAAAATTCCTGCTCCGTTTACGAGGGAAAAGTAGAGACTGGATATTGTCTAGGCAGTGTTTCTCATAACGTTCCAAGTAGTAAAATAATGAAGTTTCCCTCTACCTTCTCTTCCTAGGAAATACATCATTGTAATAATAGTCGTTAGAATTTTAAATATAAGATATAAAAAACTGGGTACGTGTCTGGTCAGCCTTTGAATTAGATCATGTGCTAATTATAGCAATATTGGACACTAGGCACATTTCCACTGTAATTTTTTAGGGAGAGATACTGAAGTTTATGCTATATATCAGCAATGAAATAATTTGTAAGCTATGTTTCTGATACTTCATTATTGGTATAATATAGGATTACAGGTGCTATGACTGCCAAATATCTGCCCCATTTTAGTTTTTCTTTCCTTCACTGATGTCACGTGCAATATACTCATTTCATAAATTTCCTCTATGTACTGCCTCTTGGTGAATTCAGTGTGTTTCCTTATTATTATTTTTTCTAATTAAGGACATATGTCCCTAAAACTTGAGTTAGAAATATCTTCCAAATAATTAGATCTTCCCTCAAGAAATAACAAAAATAAAGCCAAAATACATTTTTCAAAATTTCCAGCAATTTTTTCTCTGTATGTTAGATGAGAAGATGAAGACATACATTAATGGCTCTTTGTAATTGAACTTCCATGTAAATTGAGTCTAAATCTATATTAGCTATATTTTTTCCTAATGAATTGGTAATTATTGTGATTATTCCTGGAACTGTGATTGTTTGACTTAATAGCTATATTTATAATTTTTTTTGTAGAAGGCCCTTTTATGGTGTACACTTTTTTTCCTGGGAAGTTATTTGTCTTCCAAAATCACATATGGATTCATCTGACATTCTAATGACTGTATCCACCAAAATATAACATCTTATGATAGTAATTTTATCTCTCAGTATTTCAGGTATACCTGAATTGGTTAATGAGTCTGACTTTGACATGTTGGTATTTGCAGTGAGTAAAGGTATTAGACTTTCAATAGTGACAATACCAAAGGTGAATACCTATTATGATCAAGATAAAATTAAAAAAGGCTTTCTGTGGTGGAAGGTCTAGGATGGCCATGTTTTATTTGAAGTACCCTATCTTAGGTCCTTCTTGGGATCTTACTCTTCCTGGGATCTCACATGTGGCAAATTTAACTTTGGAATACTTACTTTCTGTTACTCTATTCCATTCCAGTATCTATAGAATTATCCTTATTAATTGACTCATTTTTGTTGTATTCCTTTTATGTCTTTGTTTGTTCCTTAAACCTGTTGACTACAAAATAGTGAGTCACCAGTAGATCCTTTGGGTTTTTTTTGTTAAAACCTGAGGCTTTACCTAGAAAAATTTAATGGCCAGGGATCTGGATTAGTTGCATCCAATTTTTAAGCCATAATCTATAGTCTCCTAGTGGTCCAAATGGGATTTTGTTAAAAAATATACAACTTCAAACATCATCCATAACCTATTGAATCTGGATATTTTGAGAGATCCCTGGGTAATTCTAAGTAAATTAAAATTTAGGAAGCACTGTACTCAAAAGTCCTTCCAACGTGCACTCTAAGCGGAAACATATTTCTCTTCTTGTTAATGAGCAATAGCACATTTATAAATTTCATTAATTCTCCAGCATGAAAGTTCCTCATTTAGGGTAATTAGGAAGTATAACAGATTGATAATAGTTTTGGTGGTTCCGAGTTTATAATGAAGCCACCATTGACAATCTCTTGTAGATGACATTTCTCAAATCACTAGTTTTGCACTATTTTAGTGGTACATGGGAAGAACTAATAACATTCCCTCACTAAAGTCAGTCAAGCAGGTATCACATATTTCTGATAACACATAGAATTCAACAATTATTCCAGCATTGTTATAATTGTAAATTTCCCAACAGCAGTCACCAAATCCCTGGGTTATCTCATGACTTAATGGAGTAGCACCCAGAACTCTATTTTACCAATTGTATATACTATTGATCATGTTTCTCTATCAAGACATGACTTTAATTTATGAAGAAACTGAGTATCCATGGAAGATGAGTTTACTCATCATATTCCCAGTAACAAACTTCAGCCACCTGTTTCTTAGACTGTCAATTTACTGAATGCTCATAAAATGCATTGATTGTTTTCTCAGTTTGATATATTCAATTTCTACCTCCCCATATTCCATAAATTATATTCTTAATATCATTTCTCCTTGGTTTGAGAAGTTACTGAATGTATGATAATATCATTTGTCAAATCATTTGTTGTCATGCATCCAAAAGTCAGAGTGCATTGGGAAAGACTTCTGGCTAAATTCTGATCAGTACAATCCAATAAAAATATAATTAAACCAAAAAAGTAATTTTAAATTTGCGAGCAGCTATATGAAAAAGTTAAAAAGAAATATGTGAAATTAATTTATGTAATTTGTTTCATGGAATCTCATATACCCAAAATATAATATTTTAGCATGTAATCACTATAAAATTATGAATATAGCTTTTGTACCTTTTTTGATCTTCAAATTTCAGTGTTTATTTTACACATAAGCATGGCTCATTCAGACTAGTCACATTTCAAATATCCGATATCCGTATATAGTTGGTGCTTAACATATTGGATACTACAGGTCTTGATTAATAATAAAATTCTAGTTGATTATAACATGTTAGTCCCAATATTCAAGATGAAATGCTCTAAAATGTTACTCCTTTGATGTAAGGTATGAAACATTCATCAGTAACATATGAAATTAAACAAAATTTGAAATGCCACCAAAAGCCTAGACAACTATTGCAGATCATTAGTGTGTTGAGTTTTAGAAGAATGACAGGCACAGAGAGAATCGGGTTGCCATCTAGTCTTCTTTCATAAAATTCCTCTCTAGTCTCTTCTTCTCCTTGTAGAGTTTTACATCCATGAGAGCTGAACACACAAACACATACCCTTCTTTCATTCCACAGAGTACTTTAAACACCACTCTTTTTTTCTTATTATCTTTCTCTGGCTCTGGGTGCAAGCTGCTCTCACAGAAACATCTTCTGAAAGTTCACACTTTTAATGGGATGATACCATCCATGAAAAACCTGCTGGGAATTCAACCGATTTCTTGTTATTTCTTTTTTTGCCTACTTTTGTCATAAGTTTTAGTGAAGAAAAACTTCAATTAACATGGCATTTTAGAAAAACTTCTCAAGTAACTGTTTCCTTTTATGAGATATCTTAGTTATTTCCTCAGCTTAATTTAATAATAACATTAAAAATTTTAATGAGATAATTGTCTTTAAAAATAACTATTCTAGGTTTTTGAGAGCAACAATACTACATTTGAAAATATGGTCCAGTCCAGATATGTTTCATAGTGAATTAAAATTATTGCCTTGTTATTACTATAAAGTTTAAAGATCTTGACATACATTTTGCTATTTTAATCATATTACTAGGGTTTCTTGCTAATGAAAATCAAAATGAAATCACATTCTATAGTTCTCTGGGAAGCAGATTTTTACAATGTCAAAATTGCATAGCCTTAAACTTCTGTGTTTAACTCCTTTCTCCAAAAAGTGGAATATTTTTTTCATACCATAGGCTTCACCTAACACACAATAACTTGTTTTCAATTTAGGAGCAATATCAATAAAGTTATTTTTAAAAATCTTAAATCTAAATAATTAAAAAATCTAACTAAAGCAAATAATATTAAAATATATCTGGAGCTTCTATTCTCCTTACATTAGCATTTCTTCTTAGTTGGTCAGAGTTAATTCAGTGATCCAGGTGCTCAAATCAATTCACAACACAACTTACTAAGATTCATCTTCAGTCCAGAAAAGAGAATGAGGGTACAAAATTTATACCCTTTGTAAATTCTATGTACTCACCTTTGCCTACCTCAAATGGTATTTTGTGCTTTTCAATATTTATTATGTTTTCATTGGGTGTGAATACTCAATAACTAAAGAATAAATGACTTCCCCAAAACATGTATGCATCCATAAAACATACAGAAATAAACACTCATTATAGCTCATTGAAGCAGTCTTACATCTTTATCTTGCTTACCTCTAGAAAGTAAGATAAGATAATATCCCCAAGTCTGTTGGAAATGAATGTATTCAGGAAACACACACAAAAGAAGATAAGTTCTTCACAGTGATGTTCTATCTTCATACTGAGGCACATTAAAAATATGGTTACTCACTACTTGAAAATTGATGGTTTTGATTAATGTAACTCGAGACAAAATTTTTAATTCTTCGATTCACAGTTACTAAAAAGTTCATTTTTTCACTTTTGAAATTTAATTTAGCTCACAAAGCATGACTAGTAGTATCAAATTAAGATACTATAGATGGGAGTGGATGAAAGATAATTATATGTTAAAATTTGAGAAATGACAACAAACTATTATACAAATTTTGAAAATTGTTAAATCATATTGGATTTGTAATCAAAACAGCATAGTTTTAAAGCATTGACTAAGGGAACATTACAGGTCATGAGTCTGAATGAACATAATAAAAAGGGCAAAAATTCTTGATGACTTGGAATTAGTAAATTTGTAGAAGGTGATTTGTTTTACATCTTACGAGTAAGCATTATTGTTCTCATTACATAGAGAAGGAAACAGTATCAGAATCATTAAAAATATGTGCATTCACATTGCTAGTAGCACAATAAGTTCAATGACTTATTGATTGTGCTTGTATTCTTACTAAGGTATATGGGAGTAAACTGCTCTACTGAATTCTGTAGTGAATTAGCTATGAATTTTTTGGAAAAAAAAATTTCACATATAGAAGCTCATACTATACCAATAATGAAACTCAGACTAGAAATATAAAGAGGGACAAGACCACGTCCTAGTTCAGGAGGCATAGAAAGTTTGTAGACAACTATGATTAGATATGACTTGTTCTAAGCTTGAGTAAATATAGAGACCTAAATGTCTTCAACCTTATTCAACCTATTTCTTGTTATTTCTTTTTTTGCCTACTTTTGTCATAAGTTTTAGTGAAGAAAACTTCAATTAACATGGCATTTTAGAAAAACTTCTCAAGTAACTGTTTCCTTTTATGAGATATCTTAGTTGTTTCCTCAGCTTAATTTAACAAAGTATAATAACATTAAAAATTTTAATGAAGGGGGAGAGAGTGGTTGGTCTGGAAAAAATTATCTGAAGTTAACATTTCTCAGCTTTGAGTTGGCAGGATGTTTCAAGATCGTAAGGCAAAAAAAGGTTAAAAGTTCTTTTGGTGGCAGCAGCCCATCTGGAGCAGCTGCTCTGGGGAAGCCAGCTGTGGCGAGGGAGGTGCCACTGGGGCTGCATGCTCTGAGGAGCCGGCAGAGGCCAGGAACAGGTGGGAGTCCCACACTCCTGGGTGTAGCTGCAGCCACCCAGCCGCGGCTCCAGACCTGGGCATCCAGGTGCACTTGGGGCCCAGGAAATCCCCTGCCACTGCAGGCTTGAAAGTGCCAATTCTGCTCCCTGGCCTCTCCTCAATCCTGGTGCCTGCTGTGGGGCAGAGCAAAGTTGTGGCCGAGCCCAGGCACTGTTGCAACCCAGCCGGGTTTGCGCACACTCAGTGCAGTGCTGACACATTGGCCTCGGGCCACCTCAGCCCCCTCCGGACTTTGGGCACCAATGAGCATGCAAGGGGGTCCAGGGGGACTGAGGGAGGTTCAGGGCGGACCCGTGGGTACCTCTCAGCACTGACAGCCTGGGATCTATGGATGGCATGTAAAAGGCAGACAGGCTCCTAGGTGGGAAGTGGTGGGTCCCCAGTGAAACCCCACCTTCAGGCCAGGGCCGGCCTGAAGGCTGGGGACTGGGCTGCCAGTTCCAGGTGAAGTCTGCAGCCAGGAGTGAGAACTTCATTGATGACCATTTGGCCAATTGGATGGTCCTTTTTCCAGGAACACCTGTGGCCAGTCATGGACCAATCAGCATGCACTTTCTCCATTCTGAGGACATAAAAACTGCAGACTCGGCCAGATTTACACACTTGCTGGGAAGACCTGCCTATAAAAGGAAGTACCCACTATGGGTCTCCTCTCCACTGAGAGCTGGACACTCATCGAGATGACCTGCATGCAGAAAGGAGCTACCGGCTATGGGTTTCCTATCTGCTGAGAGCTGGACACTCATTGAGATGACTTTCCTGTGGGAAGGAGCTACCCACTACGGGTCTCCTGAGAGCTTTTCTGTCACTCAGTGAAGCTCCTCTCTGCCTTGCTCACCCTCCAGTTGTCTGCACACTTCATTCTTTCCGAATGTAGGACAAGAAGTCAGGACCCACCAAATGCAGGACTGAAAAAGCTGTAACACAAACAGGGCCACAATATACCCCCCATTCACCACGTTGCAGGCAACAAGAAGGAGAGAAGAGCTGTGGCCCTTTGGGGAGCCCAGACCTAGGGGCTCCCCAAGCCAGGACTGTGACACCCTCTTTGGGGCTCTCTGAGGGTTCCTGGCATCTCCAATCATCCGGCTGCCACCACGTTCCCCTTGTCCAGATGTGGGTGCCCCTAGCAGAATCCATTTGTGGTACATCTGATCCAGCCACAGCCTTTCACGGAGCCAGCACCTGAGCCAGTGCCTGGAGCTGCCCGCTCTGCTGCAGCAGCCAGTGTGCCTGGCTGTGTGCAGTGGAAAAACGCCATGCTCGCTAGCCCACACGCCCCTTGCTGCTGCCCACCTGGCTCACCGTTGGCAGGTGTGGGATCCAGGCTGGTAGCATGAGTCGAGTGCAGTCTGCCAAGCCAAGTGGGCAGAATGAGCCCAGCGGGCCTAAGCAAAACTAGGGCAAAGATGCCACCAGCCACAGAGGTTTCCGAATGGAAATGTGACACCCTAAGGATCCTGTGACTACAAGTAGGTTAAAAGGCTGGAACAGTCTGTGGAAAGTAACTAGTAACAGGCTGGGCACAGTGGCTCACGCCTGTAATCCCAGCACTTTGGGAGGCCGAGGCAGGCAGATCACTAGGTTAGGAGTTTGAGACCAGCCTGGCCAACATGGTGAAATCCTGTATCTACTAAAAATACAAAAATTAGACGGGTGTGGTGGTGCGTGCATGTAGTCTCAGCTACTCAGGAGGCTGAGGCAGGAGAATTGCTTGAACCTGGGAGGTGGAGGTTGAAGTGAGCTGAGATCCTGCCACTGCACTCCAGCCTGGGTGACAGAGACTTTGTCTCAAAAAAAAAAAAAAAGAAAGAAAGAAAGTAACTAGTTACAGAAGAAGAGACATGATAGATATGCAAAAAAAAAAAAAAAAAAAAAAGATAATGCACCACTATGTGCTGATAAATAAAAGATTAAAAGGAACAAGTATGTAATTTTCCCAATAGAAAATAATTACCATATGATAAATAGAATATTGCTTAAGTATTTTTTCTACAGAAGTACGCTTAATAATGTCCTTCCTTCTAGCCTGTCAGTAAACTAACTTATTCTAGAGGAATATAATATGCCTTATTCTTTCTGGAGTTCTGTTATCCACATCAAGATTATCTCATTGTTTTTCTTTATATATTTCTCAGAAATTATATATTTTTATTCAAGAGATAGGGATATTCAACAGCTCTTAAATAAAAATAAATCCTGAGTAACTTATCTTTATAACTCCCAGAAGAAAATATTGAAAGTAGTCACTGTATGCATGGATTTACTTTTTTTCATTACATAATTATCTGCAATATACAATTATATCCTATTTAATGATGTTATCTTATAAATAATTGTATTTTTTAACAACTTTATACCAAAACTAAAATATTTTGAGACAAAATAAAGAGAAGACAAGATAAATAGTTAAAAATTAAAATGGTCTCAAATAGAGATTTCCAAACAAATACATAAATGGTCAGCAGTTGCTTATGTCTCCATTCTGAAGACATAAAAACTGCAGACTCAGCCAGATTTACGCAGTTGTTGGGACAACCTGCTTGTAAAAGGAGCTACCCACTATGGGTTTCCTATCTGCTGAGAGTCGGACACTCATTGGAATGACCTGCCTGCAGAAAGGAGCTACCCACTATAATCAGGGAAATGCAAGTCAAAAGCACAGTAAGACACCTCACACCTGTTAGGATGGCTAAAAAACACAAAAGTTAAATTTTGGAGAAAATGTGAACAAAAGGGAACCCTTGTACAGTGTTGGTGGGAATGTAAATTGGTACTCCCATTATGAAAAATTATATATGGAGGTTCCTCAAAACATTAAAAATAGAACTACCATATAATCCAGCAATCTTATTTCACATCTGGGTATATATTCAAGGGAAACAAAATCATTATCTTGATGAAATATTTGCATTTTCATGTTCATCACAAAATTATTCACAACAGTTAGGATCTGGAAACAGCCAAAGTATCCATTGAGAAGTAAATAGATAAAGAAATGGTGGCATATAGAAATATTATGCAACCATGTAATGATAAGGAAATTCTAGAATTTACAACATGAACGAAGCTGGAGGGCATTATGCCAAATAAAATAAGCCAATCACAGAAGGATAAAAAATACAGTATGGTATCACTTACAGGTGAAATCCGAAACAACAAAAAAAGTTACATTCATTGGAACATAGTATAGAATTGTAGTTACCAGGAACTGAAGTGGGGGAATGGAGAGATGTTGGTCATAGGGTACAAAATTTCAGTTATAAGATGAATAAGTTCTGCAGACTGGATGCACACCATGTCGTGACTATAGTTGACAGTACTGTATTGCTTATTTGAATTTTCATAAAGAAGCAGATCTTAAGCAATCTCACCAAAACTTTTTAGAAAGTAGCTATGTGAGGTGTTGTTATGTTAATGAACTTTATTATGGTAATCATTTCATAATGTGTATGTATATCAAGTCATTACATTATACACATTAAGTATATTCAATTTTATGTGTCAATTATATTACAATAATGGTGATTTTTTAATGGCTTGCCTGCAGAATGCCACCATATTCATTAAGATTTTCTTTTATACTGTTTATCCTAAGAGTACAGCAACAAAACTGTGGCTTTAAAAACTCAAAGGGATGTAATTAAACAATTTACTATGTTTAGTTTATTAAATTTTATAAACTGCGTTAGACAAAAAGATTTATGCACTTAATCACATTTACATTAATCTATAGTAAAGTTCAAAAACAGAAAATCAAGCCTGGAATAATTTCCTGTATTTCCTGCTGGATCTGCCAGACTAGTGGAGGATAATACAATTAGAACATTTACAGAAGTCATCGTGAATGTTACTGTTATTGAAGTTGATAAATGAAGTTTTCATTTCGATTAAGAAACATGTAAGAGATATGAGTGTGATATTTGTTGTTTTTTATGGACTACATACAAAGTCTTGAAAAAAGATTGAAGAGCTTATCAATCAATACCAAGGCCTAGAAACCAGTTTTATTTTCTTTAAAATGAGAGACAGAGAAGTGAATGTTATTAAAAAGGCTACCGTAAAAATAGTATTTATTGGCCTTTCCACTTACACAATTTTAACAGCAGAAATAAAACTTTATTTGTAGATGTTTTCACTTATTAAAAAAAGTCTTAAAAAGTAGACCATAGAAGTTCTTGGTTTCTTATCAATATAAAGACAAGTTGGCTGTTGTTCAGTTTATAAAATAAAACAAATTCTGTTCATTAATAAAGGCTGTCAATCTAGAAATTAATCTTTTTCTTACAGGTATGTGATCTTCAATATTATGGTGACTATCTTTCCACCAACTGACTATACGCCAATCATTTTCACTTCACTTCAAGGTTGCTACCATAAACCAAAAAGCAAATCCTATAAAATATGCTTTTAATTTGTTCGAAATTGTAATTTTTTTCTTTAGTTAGGAAATAAGAAAGCATTGTCACACACACAATGTATAAAGAAAAACATAATTCAAAATTATTCTGAAAACAATTTGAAGACACAGAGATTCTAAGAATTATTATGAGTAGCTCTGTACAAAGAAATCATAGAATTTGAGCAAAGTTACTCTGGCATAATTTGGAAGAAACTGATAAAATTGTCATCAATATCACAGGGAGAAGTTCAACTCAGCTAGGGTAGATAAATCATATACTTTGAAAACAAGCTTAAATACAGCCTAGCATTAAAAAAAACAGGGATAAACAAAAATTATAAAAATGGATCATCCTAAAAATAAGCACTGTAAATATAAATGATGTAAAAAAGCAATATCCAAAACTGTACACACAAAAAAAACTTAAAGCAGAGATTCAGAAAGGTTAAATATTTAAAAATGAGTCAAAATATATCAGGTGAAAGCACAAAACAAAACAACATGATTTTCAATCTTAATATTAGACAAGGTATACTGAGACATATAAAAACACTTAAAAGACAGCAAGAGGCGCTTATGATACTAAAGAATGCAACTCACAATTAGGTTATGTTAGTAATGCTACTGCTTCAAATAAATCAGAATCGGCTTTCAGAAGAAAAAAAGACTACAACAGCTCTATTAAAAAATGCTGCTTATAGCTTACTCCCAAACAGAGCAACTGGGCAAAACTATTTTAGATAAGAAACACACAACACATCATCAAGAAGGTAGATTGTATAAATAAAACACTCTGAACTAAAATAGTAAATAATATAACTTATTTTCAAGTGCACATGAAAATCAACTATATTTTAGGCCCCAAAGTGCTCTTTAGTTAATTCCAAATAATAGTGTTGGAAAAATAAGCTAGAAATTAACAAGATTGCAGAGACTCTGTCACCTAAAACATCGAAAACATTATTTTTAACATGTAGGCCTAAGGGAAAAACGGAGTGGCAGCACTTATTTAGAAGAATGGTAACTAAATAATATCATAATCTATGAAATATAGCAAATAATTATCAGAGGAAAATACATGGCATAAAATACTTATATCAACAGAAAGCAACATCAACAATATAGTGAATTATGGCCAGGCACAGTGGGTCATGCCTGTAATCCTAGCACTTTGGGAGGCCAAGGTGGGTGGATCACGAGGTCAGGAGTTCAAGACCAGCCTGGCCTACACGGTGAAACCCCATCTCTACTACAGGCAGGCACCTGTAATCCCAGTTACTCAGGAGGCTGAGGCAGAAGAATCACTTGAATCTGGGAGGCGGAGGTTGCAGTGAGCTGAGATCGCTGCACTCTAGCCTGGGTGAAAGAGCAAGACTCTGCCTCAAAAAAAAAAAAAAAAAAAAAAAAAAAAAAAAAAAAAATATATATATATATATATATATATATATATATATAGTGAATAATGTACTTAAAACTAAAAAGAGAAAAATAGCTTAACAAGATGCAGGGAATTAGAAAAAAGGTAGAAAGCAGACATTAATGAGTTAGAAAAAAATTAAAAGAAAGTTAATAAATGCAAAAATCATTAATTTGAAAATATCACAATTAAAAGGGTAGATCATAAAATAAAAATGGGAAGGAGAATGTGCATATATACAAATTGTACATCACAGAAAAAGTAACATCCAAACATATACATGTTAAAAAAAAAGTAAAACAAACTAAATCTAATGTGGGAATATTTTGCACAACTCAGTGAAAATAGAATAAAAATCATCATATTAAATTGATAGTTTTGTAGGGGGTATAATTACCAAATGTGATGCCAGGTAAGGCAGAACACATAATCAAATAAATAACAAGATAAGAAATGCCCCTTAAAAGTGCCAGCCCAAGATGGTAACCTCAAGGAAATTTTATCAAATTTGTGCCATATTTACCTTATGAGTATTCCCCACGGAAATGTGTTCAAACATCTCAATACTTGCTAAACTAACTCAGAACAAAGAAAAGGCTAGAAAATTTTTCAAATTTATTAGTAAATCAAGGTGATTTCCAAACCTGTAAACAAAAACTAAATTATCGTACGCACAAATGTTGTATTTCTGTGTGTGTATGCAAAATCTTAGATAATAGCAAAAAGTCAAGACATTTTTATTCAAACTTAATGGGTTTAGGAATGAATGTTTATTCTCATTTCATATTAAAAATGTATCATTATAATGCATCCCATAGCTAAGGAGAAAAACATACGAGGCTGAAAGGAAAAAAATCTAACACAATTCAATAATCAATGATGCTAGTAATACTCAACAAAATATAAATTGAGTCTCTCACAAGATTAGCAAAAAATATTCTATGTTATCAAATCATAAAGTCAATTATTGTAAATGGAGAGACACAAGAGCATATTTCTGGACTTAAAGTTAGAAAGAACAGTAGGATATCTTTTTAACCTGATTACTGCTTAACATTGTGTTAGAGGAACTGGCTGATGCAATTAGACAAAAAAAAAAAGAAATTAGAGGCATAAGAATTGGCAAATATTATAAAAAGAACTCTAATTATTATCAAATGCTTATATATCCAGGAAACTAAAAATAGTTAATATGAAAGATTTAATTGAAGATTTAGTGAAGACTATATTATAAAATGAACATTTAAAAATGAAAAAGCCATTTCATGTAAGAACAAAAACAAATTAGAAGATATAATAAAAAAGTAGACTCTCTATATATCTAATTTCATGTTTTTGTGTATGCATATATACATAACATACATATACATATACATATATAGAAACACAAATGTGTGCACATATATGTATATGATCAAAACCGAAATTTTATTGCTTTTAAAAAACAAGTTTTTCTATATATGCTTAATGATACTACATCTCAAGGGAAAAAAAAAACAGAAAAAAATACACAAAACTATTTTTGTTATTTTATTTTCCATGAAGCTGAACGCCATGGTAGATGAAGGCCACACGTGGGGCAGCTCTTGTCCAGTTCAAAACAGTTGAGACCACTGACTTTTCAACTGGGCCTGTGCAAATGCCCAAGAGGTAGACTTTTGACATGAGAAGACCTAAAACTCCACTCTCAAATCAGGCTAATACCTCCATTTTCTGAACTTATGTCCAATGAAATGACATGAACCCAGACAACGTGTGTGTAGATCAGTAATTACTTCATTTTTCTACACTGTCAACCACTTTTCACCATGACTTGGACCACCCCACTTCTCTAACCCATAAATACCCTAAGCCTTATCTTGGGAGGCACATTTGAGAGCTGCTGTCTCACATCCTTGTTGGGCAGACTTGTGAATAAATCTGTTTTCTTTTGCAAAACCCTGACACAGTGATTGATTTACTGTGTATAGGCAGAATGAACAAAAATGTGTTTCAATTGTTATTGAGTTTATCTAAAACAGTTTTCATGAGACCATAGGGAAACTAATAGAAGTATACACACACACACACACACACACACACACACACGTAAAAATAATTTTCTTATTTTTAAATAGTAAATAAAAGAAAAAAGGATTATAAAAGATATAATCCTTTATGGATTATATCTTAAGGTAACCACATGAGTGATTTGAAGACTAAATCTTTATAAAAGGACAAAAGTCTAAAATATTTTAGCTAAGATAGTAATATTTTGCAGTCACTTATACATTAATACATCAATGTAATCTGTAGTTTCAAATATAACTGAAAAAAAAAAAAGACCCCAGACATTATGATCTACATAATGGTAGTATTTTAAAACATCTTTGAGGGATGCTTGCCAAAACATCAAACCTGAGTCCTACCTGGACTCTGGATTGAATTATTAATTCATACTGAGGCAGCTAGGAGGGAAGGGTCCCCAGATAAACTCCAGCTAGCCTGTGCACTGGGGTGGACCCATAGAAGATCCCGCCACTTGCAGCCCAGAGAAGCCTGGCCCCTCTTCTTCCTGGGTGGAACCTGGGATTCAATCTGCATGGCAGGAAGCACGCTAGCAGGACTCTGGCTTTGCAGAGGGCCCGTTTCCCTTTTTGCCCAATAAATTCAATTTTTTCTTACCCTTCGAAGTGTCTGTTATCTCTCATGGTCCTGTGACATGAAACTACTCTTAGCTGAACTAAGAAAAAACTCCTACAACAATACTAATTTCGGGGAAGAAAGGAAGATACAACATGACACTAGTGGGGTGCAAACATTAAAAGCAAAATTGCAAAAGTCAGTACAAGAAAATAAGATTTCTCATATAATAAATATACTTTTAGGAATAATATATGGATGAGAAAACCAATAGTACATAAATGGTACTGAAGAACTTATAACAAACAATTAAAATTAATAGCCTTCATTGTCTGCTATCGATGACCTCATGTAGGATGGTAGTAAGGACATTTGTTAATTAATTTTGGGTATGACAATGTTATTGTGGGAATAGTTGAAAAAATAAAAGATTCTCAATAAAAATACTTGAATACTTAGCAATTATACATTGCTTGAAATTTGTTCCAAACTGTTGTGGGTTGGGGAGTAAATGGGCTGTGGTATAGATGAAACAAGATTTTCTATATTTTTATAATTGATAAGATTGGGTGACTGATACATGAAGATTCATAATAATATTCTTTTTATATGTTTGAAATTTATTATGAGTTAAAAAACAAATAATTCAGAAACACAAATATATCAATATGAATCCATTCCATGAGAAATTTATTTTGTATTGCCTCTCATTTCCAGCAAGTATAAATTTATTCTTATCTATTTTAAAGAATATATATGTATAATTATTGAATATAAACACAATATATATTTTAAAATATAATAATATAATGAAAACTTGAAAGTTCATAGGAATATATTAATGAAGTCCAAGTTAAAAGTTTATAAATTAGACAATCTATTAAAATATAGATTGACTTAGCTGTCATAAAAAACTTTCCAAAACGGCAATTTAACTTATTTCAATTTGTATTAAATAACCAAAAATTTATGTTTATTGGTTGTTGGTACTCATTCGTATGTCTTAGACTATTAGGAATGCATCATTTTTCTTCCAAAGGCAAAGGTCATTAACAGATCTTCATAGAAAAAGAGAAGCCAAGTATTAATTAAATACTCAACCTTGCAATTCTAGTGAGCTATGACTTCAATCTAGTTAAGAATATTAAATTTAACAGTCTTTATGACTACTAGATTAATATATACACTGTATTATTTGTCCACATTAATGAACATCCTATCTTTACTGAGTGAATTAAAAGTCAATTTAATGTATTTGTAAGACTATATTGAAACAAGATCTTCATGAAATTAAGTAGAAATTAGAGGTTTAAATTTTTTTCCTGTCAAACAAACCAACAAAATGGGATGTTTTTATGGTGAAATACCATCAGAGCAAAATAAAAAAATGAAATTGTCAAAATCCAACTTGACCTAAGAAATTGAAAATAGTCCTGTTAAATAAACATGGGAACAGTAATCATTGTATCATATGTAATGTGTGCATATTGGTGCATTAACATATTAAGTAGTTAACACATAAAAGTTAAAATATTGAACGCTTTTGGATTTTCAGATATTCGCTAAAATTAAATAAACACATAAAAGATTGCCAGACAGTGCATCAGCTTTTCTGAGCTTTACAAAGAGTAAAACTACGTGAATATAAAAATCCCTTCCCAGGATTTTCATGAGAGGTGAGAAGTCTAACTTCCCTTCTATTGCATGTTAAATTATGTTTAGGTAGTATGGAAAAAAATGCTTTCAGAAAAATGCAAAAGATATATGAATGACCAATGAGCAGGAAAAGTTTATAAACAAAATAGTTTTATGAATCTTTTGACAAATCTTTCTAATTTGTATAGGTATATTTTTCAAAGCCTATATCATATGTTAAAATTAGTTTTGATGTGGAATATTAGAGGTTAGAAAACCTCAAAAATAAATATATATTTAATGGCATGTGAAATATAGTATTCTAAAATGAATGCATATATTTGGAATATTGATTAAATATTTTGTTTGGAATATTGTCAATATCTGAGCTAGCTTTTTATGCAGGCAGGAAGATTCTTACATTGTCATTTTAGAAAAACAAATGATATGATACCTGTCCTAAAGTTTCTGCCATGAACCATTTAATTTTGTTTTTTTATATATGATATTCACCAACATGTTAAGAATTTTAAGAAATCATGACATTTAAAAGCAGCCATTAAGAATATACGCCCCTAAAGAAGTAGATCAATTTATTATGATAAACAATTACATATTTTATTATTATATTATTTATTATTTTACTACTATTATTATTATACCTCAGCTCCTCAGTTGCAACTATGCTATGAAGTAGGAGTTTATCATCATGCTTTAAGCTTCGACATAAAAATTAAAAGATGATTATTGGATTAATAGCTGACAAATTTACTTAAAAGGAGCTATTAAATGGTGCAGTGGACAGATTAAAAAGTGATCTGCATGTTTTTTGCTCTTTGTGGTTCATGCTTTTTTATCATTTCTTCTTACTGTGAGAAGAACCTGTGACTTGTTTCTAGCCTGGAGAATATGGCAAAGGTACACCATATGAGATTACATTTGGTAAGACTCCATTTGGTTGCTTACTCACCCTAATCTTTATCTCTGTGTGGTTGGTTTTAAAGAAGCAAACTGCCATAACTCTAAAACTGTAAGGACATGAATTCTACCAATGACCTAAGGGAGGTGGTAAACAGTTTGGTCCCCTGGTGGAGCCTTTGGATTATAAACCAGCCTTGGATGATACTTTGATTTTAGTCTTGTGAGGCCTTAGGCAAATGACTCATCTAATTCATCTTTGTATTTCTCACCTGCAGAAACTATGAGGTAATAGATGTGTAATATTAAAGCTGCTAACATTTTCTTAATTCATTATGCAGTACGTAAAACAAATACAAATGGTCAAAAATAAGATCAACAAATAGGTATTGGAATAGATCTGACATTATTGCTTCCTGGCAAGGAAGAGATATATTACTCAAGTATGTGTTTAGTAGGTTTCCTAAAAAGACATTGAAAACTGTAGAAAGAGTGAAAAAGGGAGAGTACATCAAGTAATGTGGGAGTCTGAAGTGAAGTGTCTGAATGGCTCATTAAGTGGATGGCAGTATCTTTATTATTATGATCAACCTTCACAGCTTTTAATTATGTTTTCCATCATTTATGTGAAAAGGCTTTGGTTCAAATGATTATGAGTTGAGATGCATTGAATACTAGAGTGACTAGGATCTTTCAGCAGATGTTCTCATGTGCTTGCGATAGAAAATAAGTCATATTTGTTTCTCTTTTTTTTTTCTTTTTGAGACAGGATCTCACCCTTTTGCTCAGGCTGGAAGTAGTGGTGTGGAGGAGGTGGAGGCTACCGTGAGTGATCCTCCTGCATTAGCTTCTCAAGTAGCTGGGACTATAGGTGTGTGTCACCACACCCAGCTAATTTGTTTGCATTTTTTTGTACACAAAAGGTCTCATCATATTGACCAGGCTGGTCTCAAGCTTCTGGCCTCAAGTGATCCTCCTGCCTCAGCCTCCCAAAGTGTGGGGATTACAGGTGTGCATTAGTCCATTTTCACAGTGCTAGAAAGAACTGCCTGATACTGAGTAATGTATAAAGAAAAAAAGGCTTTAATTGCCTCATAGTTCCTCATGGCTGGGGAGGGCTCAGGAAACTTAGAATCATGGCAGAAGGCGAAGGAGAATCAAGGCACATCTCATATGGCAGAAGGAGAGAAAGAGTGAAAGAGGAAGTATGAAACTTAAACCATCAGATCTCATGAGAACTCACTCGTTATCATGAGAACAGCATCGGGGAAACTGCCTCCATGATTCAATCACCTCCCACCATATCCCTCCTTTGACACATGGGGGTTACAAATTGAGATGAGATTTGGGTGGGGATGCAGAGCTAAACCGTACAAGGAATAAGACACCATGAAAGGCCATCATTTTCTAATTAACATTGGTGATGTGGGGAATTCCTTCAGTCTATATCAATCTTTCTCAATATGAGATCCCCAGAAAAACAGCAGCAGCAGCCTTGGGAAATGTTGGACAAGCAAATCATCAAGACGTACTTCATATCTACTGAATCAGAACATCTGAAAATTATGGCTTCTGGAAATTTGGTTTTACCAAAGTCTCCAAGTGCTTTTCATGACCCTAGATTTTGAGAATCAAGCTAATATGTTCATGTTTCAGTGGATGAAGAGAAACTAGGCCAAAGCTGGAAGAAACACTAAGCCTTACTTTCTGTTTCCCTAATCTAGAGACTTGAAGATAACCAGCTAATATTTATAAATAAGAATATCAGTGAAGCCAGAAAGGGTGTTGTTGTAGATGGAGAAGATTTGGGAGAAGAAAGCTGGAAGAAACAGGTTGAGGTGCAGGTGATCTAAAAACAGTAATGTAGAACAAACATATATGTGTAAATCTATGTATAGGGTTGGAAAAATCAAATGCTTGATATGGACACTGCAACAAAGTTACAGCAGTGAAGAGCTGAAATTCATTTTCAGTTCTACCTTACCTTACCTTACCCTATACTACCTCAGATAAAAAAAAATAGAAAGAACAAAACATTAGGCACAGGATAAAAATTATTATGAAATCACTGTATTTTATAAAAGAAAGACTTAATGGAAATATCTTAAAAGACAAATACTCTGATAGAAAAATTAATTTGAAAGTTTTCAAATAGTACCAGAAGAAAATATCCAAAAAAAAATTCAGGTAAATTAAATAAAACATGATCTATTGGAAATGATATAGAAAAAATATGACAGTAATGAAATACAAAAGATAATAGGACTAAGCAAAGAAATCATATACACATGTAGCTTATAAATATATCAATAATTACAAAACCCTGACATGGCATGAAACCGGTTAGTCTTGAGTCTGTCTCACAAAAACACAGGAAAAAATAAAATGTAATTTTTTTAGGTAGAACCTTAGACCAAGGGTTCAGTCTAGGTCCTGCTGCTCTCTGCAAAGAAAGCCAATTACTGAGACAACAAGTATTGGCAGGGAAGAAGGGTTTATTTGGGTGCTGCATGCAAGGAGATGGAAGATCCATCTCAAATCCAGCTCTCTGAACCACTAAAATTAGGGGTTTATATAGAAGGAAGAAATGTATCCATATGGGAAACAGGAAACAGGGAGGGGTAAGGAAGAGGAGTTGGTCAACAGAAAGCAGGTGGTTGGTTAGGCAATTGTGGTGGGTGAGGGGTCTGGAGTCTCATTGTCCAGATGGAGTGATCTGGTAACTATCTGGGAATCCTGAGAAAAAAGTCAGATAAGACATTTGTAACTTTCTCCCATTTTAAGACTGGGAGTGCTGATTTCCATGTTTATTCAGAAGAAACTATAAATGTTAACTTGATGGGGCAATTGGGCTGGTTTCAGTATGACTATAATAAATTTGGTTAAAAAGACAGCGGAGACACTTTAATATGTCTATCTAAAAAATAAAAAGCACTAAACACTTCCCCCTCAGCACTCCATTTCTCTACTCTCCTACACAGGGAAATTCATCTGTTATCTGTCAGTTTTGGGGAGACTTGAGCACCTCAGTTTCCCTTCCCAAAAAGGTTCTCATCTCAGCCTTTATTATAACTGCTATTATTAATTTCAAAATAGCCTTTCTGTTGGCAGATCCAGTGGCCACTTTTTAGTCACCAAGTCACCCTACTTTTGCTTTATTATCTACATGACACTTCTTTGAAATAACTTCTCTTGGCTTGCTGAAATAATACTCCATCATAACTGGCTGCTCTTCCACTCACCTCCTGTTTCTGGTTCTACTCCTCTGCTAAAATCTAACTATCGGCATATTCATAGATATTATCCTGGGGTCCATTACATACATATTTAGTTTCTTCTTTTTAACGTTTTTCCAAAGTTTATAGCCTTAAGTACCAACTATAACATATTCTGATGAATCTCAAATCTCTTTTTCTCACCATGACAACATCTCTTCAGAAATCCTGGCCAGTATATAGAACTGACCACTGGATCATTTCACATAGATGCTGTTGGAATTTCTTCTCCTCAAACTTTCAAGCTTTTAATAGAAAACTCTCTCTCTCCCTCCGTGTGTGTGTGTGTGTGTGTGTGTGTGTGTGTGTGTGTGTGTGTGTTTAGGCTGGGGTCTGGAGGAAGTCTACCTCTATTCTGTAAATGGTCTTTGTTTTTTTGTTTTGGTTTTTTGAGACAGGGTCTCACTCTGTCGTCCCGACTGGAGGCAGTGGCACGCTCTCAGCTCACCAAAACTGCCGCCTCCCAGGCTCAAGCGATTATGCTGCCTTAGCCTCCCAAGTAGCTGGTATTACAGGCATGCACCACTACCACCTGGCTAAATTTTTTTGTATTTTTAGTAGAGATGGGGTTTCACCATGTTGCAGAGGCTGGTCTTGAGCTCCTGATCTCAAGTGATCCACCCGCCTCAGCCTCCCAAATTGCTGGTATTACAGGTGTGAGCCACTGCACCCAGCCTGTCAATGCTTTTTGAACAAGAATGTTTGTTTTCAGTTTACTTTTAAACCTGATAGCTAATTTTATTTCAAATGAATTATTTAAAAATTAAAACAGGACAGTACACAAATATTTATATCAAACACAGAATGTCTTTAACTTTTACCAAAATTCTACCTGTAGCAATTGGGAAGTTTAGCTAGAGCAAAATCATTGCAATTTATAACCAAAGAAAAGAAAGTTTTATAAAAGTCACAGATGCTGAAAAGGCCAGAAATGAACAAAAGCTTATGAAAAGGGAACGATATAAAGAAGAGCAGCAGGGGGAAAAGAAGACATTTGCCAACGTGAATCAGATTTGTTCTGGCACCATTTTTAAAGGCATAGTTTGAATTTATTAAATGAATAGAAAAGGAATTTACTTTTAAACGTGTATAATATCTCTACAAAACAAGATATTGAGAGTTATTTTTAACACATTATATACATCTCTTCATTAAAACTGAAGAAATAGAATGTATTAAGTTTTCATCTAATCAATAGGAATTGAACCCTGAACATGGACAGAGAGAGATTGAGAGGAGAGAGACTGTCAGAAGAATGGGTAGAGTTTTTGAGTAAGAAAGTCGTTTGAAATCTTCTCCTAGTCTCTGAGAACACCAAAATGACTCAATAGCAGAAACACAGATAACTATAAGCACTCCAAAAATTTCCTAAATTATATATATATGTATATATATATGTAAATGGTACATGGATAAAACCCAAGCTCAGATATTTCAGTATATTTAAGAACAATATGATAGAGCTATAGATAAATGGCATTAGTCTTTTCTCTGTTTTTCCAAAATCTAGATTTGACATTCACACTGTGGTTAGCCTGAAACTAAAGATACAGAAAATGTTTCAAATAACAAAAAGAATTTACATTACTGGGCTCTATAAAATTCTAATTGATTTCTTCTCTAAAAGGAAGAAGCATCATGGTGGCCACCTTTTCTTTTTTTACCTTGAGGGAATATATTCTTCTATCTAATAAGAGAGAAAAAAAAAGCAAAAAGTGGAACTCCAAATGCAAGCGATATGTTCATTTTAACTTCCCGTATTTTCACTTTCTATTACAGCTATGGACATGTAAATTTAAAGGAACATAAATTTAAAGGAACATAAGGAGACATTTAAGAAAATGTAATTGACAATTTTATTACCATTAAGTCTATGAAGTCTTGACATTCTGATGAATAACATCCACTGCAGCTAGCATTACTTACCAGTATGATTAACCAGCATTTGCTGAGATAATCACCAGAAACATGATTTTGCATTTTAGTGACTCAGAAGTAAAATTCTTTTTGTGTTGCAATTATTTAGTCTGAATATTTGAATATGTATTCTGTTAATATGGTATTAACAGATATATAGGGTCAGAAACCACACACTTATGGTTAAATTCTATGTATTGGATGACTTAATAAGCTGAAAGTTATAAATCTAAAAACAGTTTGGGGCTGTTTGTTTACAGCTGCTACCTCTCTCTCATATTCTAAACCCAGGCCCTATTATAGTCATGTTTAGTTCTTGCTTGGCTTTTTATCTTTAAGCTTATGATTCTTCTAGAATATATCTATGTATATATATAAAATACAAATATTATGTGTATATATATATAAATATGTATTGCATTATACACACATATATAATTTACATATTTATATGTGTGTGCGTGTGTACATATATATACATATATACATTATTCATATATGCATATATGAATAATCAAGTACCTTCTGCAGATATTCCCAGCTCTGCCTCTGTCCAGCTCTCTCATGTCTATCACTTTGTAAAGCAAACTCTAGCCTCCATGCTTACTCCTGACTCCCAGTATATTTGTTTTCTCAACTCAGGGTCACTGATAGTTATGCCTGAGTTTCCTCTCCCTATGCAACCTCAGAAATTTCTCCAGACAGGAATCTTGGGCAACTGGAGGTTCACTTCATCTATTTTCTGTATCTCAGAGGCCATTATTTGTAATCTAATACCCAATGTCTGAAAGAATTTTTAAAATCTATGTTTCTTCAGTTTTTAGTTGTTTTAGGTGGGAAGGTATATATGATACCTTTTGTGCTACATAGGTTGGAAGCAGAATTCAAATCCATGGAATCTTACCTATACATGACCAGCCCAGTATTCAGTTAAGACCTTGAAGAAAGACAACTGGGCTTTTTTTTCATATAACACTGTTTTCCCCGATACTCTGCATATCGAAGAGAAACCAGCCCAATTGTTCCACAGAACTGATATTTATGATTTCTTTTGAATGAACATAGAAAGTGACCCTTCCAGTCTTAAAATTTGAGAAGCTTACAGTTGTCTTAGATCTGAGTTTCTTTCTCGGGAAACCAAACATCAGGCCTCCCTGATAGTATCAACGATCTGAAACTTACCAGATCACCATATCTGGACAATTGAGACACCAGACCTTTCACCCATCATGATTGCCTAAACGACCAACTGCCTCCTGTTGATCAACTCTTCCTTACCCCTCCCTAATTCCTGTTTTTCTGCATGTTGTTACATTTCTTTCCTGCTACATAAACCAATGATTTTAGTTGCTCCCATTTCCTTGGCTGCAGCACCTGATTAAAGCCTTCTTCCCTGGCAATACTCTTTGTCTCAGTGATTGGCTTTCTGTGCAGTGAGCAGCAAGACCTAGACCAAACCTCTGGCATTATGATAACAAGATTTTGGTTCCCTGACTGGGAATGTGTTGCTCCTGGCTCAGCTGCCATGAGCTAATAGTTTTAGAAGCCTTCCTAAGCAGCCGCCTGACCATTTTTTGGGCAGAGGTGGATCTCAGTCTCTCTTTCTCTGGCCTTGTCACTGCCAGCCCCAACTGCGTTGATTGCCTGAAAAAACAGCCTTTGAAATTTGACATCTTCATCCATTTACATGAGTATCCTTTATGGGCCCAGACAGCAAGAACTGCTCCTCTCAATCTGGGAAGGTAATAAAGGAATTTCCATTTGCAAGTTGAATAATCCCAACTGACTGAGAGAGGGAAGCACCCTGACTGTTCAGTTTTGGCACTTTTGGGGGCTTGTTTGTAATTGTGTGTGTCTGGACAAGTGTTTTTTGTAGGTACCAGACAGCTGGATTGGCTCTTCTTAATTACTTACTGGGGCAAACAAAGTTTAGCCATTTGAACGTGGCCATAAACTGTTGAGTTTATGTTGCTATCTCATGGCTAGAGTTCCAAAGTAAAAGCTAGTGGACCTTTGCAAGTAGATCAAGCCCAGCTGATGGAGAGCGGAAGCACTCCTGCTGTTTCAGTCTGAACACTCTTGGAGCTTGTTGCTTGTTGCAGCAGTTGGATTGTGTTTTGGTAATTGTGTTTTTGTGTGTCATGAGAAATCAGAATTTGATAAACTTATAATCTTTTGTAATGCTGTTTGGCCCAATATTATTTGGAACCTGGAGAAGTTTGTTCTCTCCATGGGCCTAATTTTGCTGTTGAATGGGAAGGTGGGATGGAGTCCCATGCATCCAGGTTTTAATGTTGTGTCTATGAAATTTACCTATAAATAAAAGAGCACTCATAAATTAGGTAAATAAATCCAAAGTATTTCTCAAGTTCATGTGACTTAAGTAAATCTTTAGTAAACATGCTGGCTTTAAAATTATTGGTAAGATAAAAATATAAATGTCTTCTGAATTGTTAGAATGCATTTTTTTCTGGGTTCTGTATTTGTCTCTGCTAGATTTGTTGAAGTGTCAAGGTTGAGCGCAGAAGATTATGAAAGTATAAATCCAGTCAAAACAAGATATTTATGTGTTTTTTTTGATAAATGAGACTAATTTAATGTTTTTACCTTAGTAAAAACAGCTGAATCTTTTGAGTTATTGACAAAAATACCTATGTATTTAATTTTAAATTTCTTACTTAGATATTCACAGGCTTAAAAAATTAATAACAAGGAAATTACTTGAAATGATGACTAGCTTTGTTTAATATTTCAGTTTTCAGAAGTATACTAGAGAAACAAAAAAGTAAAAGAATTGAGTACATGTAAATGGAATAAATGTTCTATGTGACTTTTGTTTAGCCTAAAATCTTAAAATTATTTTTGATGCTTATTGAATGTCTGCATAATTCCAAATAAGAATGGGGAAATAGTTTCCAAAATTTGTGCAATGTTCTCATCTATAAAATGCTAACTAATATCTGATAGACAGTTCAGGATTTCTTGCTTTCTTAGTTTTCACTAAAATTTAAGGTTATTAAGAATTGTAGTTAATGTATAATTCTTAATTGATTAATATAATGATCACTACAATCAAGATGCAAAACTATTCCATCACTCCAAAGAAAACTCTTTTATGGTCAGAGAGATGGGTTTGAGACTAGTGTCCCATTTCCTTGACTGCAGCACTCAATTAAAGCCTTCTTCCCTGGCAATACTCATTGTCTACTGTGTAGTAGTACAGGACCTAGACCAAACTCCCTGGTATTTTAGTAAAAAAAGTATAACTACTGCAGCAGTCCTCAGGTGAGCAATAGCACTTATAAAGTTGAGATCCCTTTTCTCGTATTGCAGCAGCAAAGTGCTCTCAAGAAGAACACAAGGGTAATAGTGGGTGATCCGAGGTTGATGATGAGGCTCACATTATGGTTTTTCTTCTTTCAAGCCTCAACTTTGTGAAACTGCATAATACCAGCAAACATTTACTTCTTGTGTTTTGTCCAGTTTTCGCATTGTTTTCAAAAGGAGGTCAAATTCAGTGTCATTTACTCTGAAAAGGCCAGAAACAGAAGTCTCATTCAGCATGCAAGCACTCTCACTTGCAAAACACCTTTTTACCCAGCTTCCAAATACTACCATTTCCTACTTCTTTCCTACCACACTCAGTGAGCATATCAGTGTCAGTATCTTTGGATGGCTCCCTAATTTACCACTTCTAAATTATAGCAGGTCCCAGGCTTAGTACTGGAATATTTTCTAATCTCTTTTTATATGCAATCCTTGGTGGTTTAACGAGTTTCATCAATTTGTGTCCATATACCAATTGTGCAGACTCTTAAATTTCAGACATGTATATGAACATGTTTACTCATTTATGCTTTAGAAATGGTTCCCAGGCTGTTATCTCAAAGAAAAACTATAGGAAAGACCAAAATAAAGACAGAACAACCACTTAAGAGTCTGTTACAGTAGTCCAAACAAATATTTTAGACAGAAGCATAGCAGGAAAGATGGATTTAGAGACAATATTACATGAAGAGTTAAACAACTGGTGCTGATTGGCTGTGGGGGCATGGAAGGAAATGAGAATAATAAAGAATGACTCCTATATCTTTGCGTGATCACCTCTTGGAGTAGGGATGAGATGGGAAATACTTGATGGCATGGATTTGGTGACTTTACAAAATATTTAAATATTTAGAGGCCTAGTTTTAATCTTGAGTATACATTCAATATCCAAATACAGATGCAAATACATAGGAGGCTATTGTGGTGGAAGACATGGCTACATTCAAAATATGAGCATCTATAAGGCTTAGAAAGACATTGAACTGGGTAAAATTATGGAAAGCAAGGTGGATATATATAGACATAGAGAGAGAGGGGACGGGAAAAGGGGAAGAATAATTTAGGGCACACACAAGACAAAATGGTAACATAAGATGCTAAAATACTGCTTTCAATATTTTGCAGAACAAAAAGTCAAATATGTATAAAAGGCAAAAGTAAAAAATCAAAACTCTAATTATTGATTAATTTCATTTATAATTTCTTTATTGAAAGTCATACCTAACAGAAAAACAAATGTTTAAGTTAGACCAGAAGTAGCCTCTCAAATGCCTAATTATTATAATAAGAACTAAAGATTTTGAGGTATTTTCACAAAAGATGAAATAATATCAACATTCAATAGAAAATGTCTAAATAGGCAACCTTACTTTTTGGTGATTATTAAGCCAACACTCAAAGCATAAATAATTGCAAATACAAATCTAGCAATATCCTATAGATAAGGTAGAAATTAAGTGAGAATAAAAATTCAAAACAATTAAAAAATCTCGAGAGTGGTAGTAAAATAGACAAATCTATAGGCTGAAAAGAGAGAACAGAAGCAGATTAAATGTTATCATTTACTTTTATTGCAACTAAAATGTGTAATTTTAAGTTAGAGATGTGCCTATTTATATTTCTATGCTGAAATAAATACATACCACAACTTATAAAAGCATTTTTAAGATATTAATGAATAGCAATTTTCCATCTATAATAAAAACGGGATGTAGGATGCTGAAAAGATTTCATGAGCTGGTCAGTCTTGCATACTGAAAAAAATGACAATGATGGCCTTGTTAGAAATGTGTATTATAATTGGCCTAAGAAAATATTCTTATTTATTTAACCATGATGTTGTTTTCACAATAAGATCCATGTAAAATTACCTGTATTTGAAATGCCTTTTTTATACTTTCAAATGTCAGGTTATTAAATTTCTTTTTTATTTCTCTACGGAACAAGCTGATTCTCCATTGTGTAAAAATGTCACAGAACAGCTGTGACCTTATGTTTCGAGATGACTGGCACAATGAAGTGTCAGAGCGAGTGAAAATGCCATTCTCTGATGAAGCGAGCTGCTCCGATCACATTAATCATTTGTTGATAATGCCTAACACAGGTGTAGACTGTTGAATATAAACTAACTAATAAAATTACTATTTGCCATAATGTTCCTCATTACCAGTAAATTAGAAAATAAATTAAAGACGTTGTTAGGTCACCACATGTTACATGAATGAAAGGGCTAAGTTTATAACTGTGGACAGCACTATGGGCTGATTATAAGTCAGAATCTACTTTTATCATGCTATGAAACATTGAAACACTTTTCTTTCTTAATATTTTACGTTTATTCTTATGTTAGAATTAGGAGTTGAATTTTTATTATCTATATCAGTGGTCCCCAAACTTTCTGGCACCGGGGACCTGTTTCATGGAAGATAATTTTTCTACAGGTTTTGGAGGTAAGGGATGGTTTTGGGGTGAAACTGTTTCACCTCAGAAGATCAAAAGATATTAGATTTTCATAAGGAGGCTGCAACCTAGACCCCTTGCATGCACAGTTCACAATAGGGTTCACGCTCCTATAAGAATCTAATGCCACTGCTGATCTGACAGGAGGCGGAGCTCAGATGGTAATGCTCGCTGGCCCATTGCTCACCTCCTGCCCTGTGGCCCGGTTCCTAACAGACCATCAACTGGTCCTTTGCCAGGGATTGGGGAGCCCTGATCTAAATATTGTTCTCACAGAAAAAAGGACTGAAACTCTTTTGGAAGTAATAGGAAATAGACCACTTATGGGTACATACTGGGATAGGCATTTAGGAAGGTACATGGAAACGTATTTTCGCAAGAGTATTTATTTTCTTTCCATCTCAAATTGTACTGATAAATGACCCTACTTTGTAAATTTGATGTCTTCAAGCTTGCCAATTTTTCTGTTACTTTTATGAGTCTGTATCTACAGCTCCTCATAGCTTTACATTGTTTACAAACCTTGTTGTTAGCAAACTTATGAAGAAAATATGTGTAGTTAATAAATGGATGATCACTTGAATTCTATTTGGATGATCTCTATACCTGTGTTATAAATTGAATTCTTACTCTACTTCGTATTAAAATTAAAATAAATTATATCAATAACTGTACTGTATCAATAATTCTTATACTTCTAAATAAGGACAAATATACTTCTTGTTATTGAAAATATAACGACGTCTTTAAAAGTACAAATGTGAGCAAGCATAAACAGCATCAGGTCACACATACAGAGTGAACATTTGTCTTGTCAACATTTTAACCTGTGAAGAAAAAGCTAACTTTCATCATGTACATGCCATATTTTCCATTTACTTATAGTCAGAGCAAATATAAAAAACATTTAAAAATATTATTATTATTAATGTTTTTAAGATGGAGTCTTGCTCTGTTGCCCAGGCTGGAGTGAAGTGGCATGATCTGGGCTCACTGCAACCTCCATCTCTTGGGTTCAAGTGATTCTCCTGCCTCAGCCTCCTGAGTAGCTGGGACTACAGACACCTGCCACCACGCCCGGCTAATTTTTGTACTTTTAGTAGAGATGGGGTTTCACCATGTTGGCCAGGCTGGGCTCAAACTCCTGACCTCAAGTGATCTGCCCGCCTTGGCCTCCCAAAGTGCTGGGATTACAGGAGTAAGCCACCACGACTGGCCTAAAATATTATTTTAAACAAATGTTTCACATAAAGAAAAATTCACCCAGTTTCAAATATTAGGAAGAGAGCATAATTAGAGTGACCTCAAGCATTTGTTTACTAGTCATTGATACCACACCCAAGACACACAAACAACAATGGATACACAATACATGGACACAAAGACACAGCCTATATACACGTGAGCACAAACTTTAAATTATAATTTTATATAAAAATTGTCTCTCTGATGTTAATTAATTATAGATTAATATAGTATTCAGATCATTGATTTGAGAAGTTTTCCTCTTTTCAGACAGTGTAGGGCTGAAACAACTGAACATTCATGTACAAAAATGCTGAACCTAGATCTAATTTTAATTTCATATATGAAAACCAATACCTAGGATAGTATAAACTTAAATGTCTATATGTGAATACTTAACTATAATTTTAATAAAATTAAGAGAAAAATGTTATTTATATATGCAAAATTTTTAAGCATCATAACCTATAAAAGAAATATGTGATTAATTATTGTTTATCAAATTAAATACTTCTGCCCATTCAAAGTATGAAAAGAATAAAATAGTAAGTAAATTCCACTATAAAATATTTTCAAAATACATGGCTAACAAAAGACTTGCATCCGGAATATATAAAGGACTATTAGAACTCATTAAATATACAAACAACTTAGTAATTAAAATGAACGAATGGCAAATAAGACTATGAAAGATTCTCAAAGTCGTTATTCTTTGGTGAAATCGATAACTTTGAATAGCTAAAATCATAGTTCTGTCAATAGCAAGTGTTGATGGGGGTGCCTCCCACGGTTTTTTTTTCTTTTTTGGAGAGACTACACTGTAGAATCACTATGGAAAACAACTTGTTTCTTATAAAATTAATAAGTAGTAAACAATTTTTATTAATAAACTATTTAAAAACTAATAAACAATTTTTATAAAATTAATGCACACTTACCATATGACCCAAAGTCTCAGTTCTAAGTATTTATCCCAAAATATGAACGTTGTATTCATTCAAACATCTCTTGTGAATATTTATAGAAACTTTATTCAAAACTGTTTCAAACTGGTGTCCTTCAGGTGGTGAATTGGTGAATACTCTGTGGCACATCCACACAAGGAAATACCACTCAGCAACAAAAAAGCAACAAACTACTGACACAGACGTCAGCATGCATAATCTCATATACATAATGCCAAGTCAATGAAAATAGACTCAAAGAATACATATTGTGAGTCCATTTTAAAGCCCTTCTGGATTAGGCAAAAATTACGTTGACAGAAGGCAGATCATGGCTTTCCAGAGGATCAAGTAAGGGCAAAAATTATCTACAAAATGTGTGTGAGGGAATTTGGGGCCATGATAGCAATACAACATATCTTGGTTGTATGGCTGCAGTTATATATCTCTATGTGTGGTTGAAATGTCACATAACTATATTTTTAGAAGGGTGGCTTTTTTTTTTTTTTTTTTTTTTTTTTTTTGAGACAGAGTCTCGCTCTGCTGCCCAGGCTGGAGGTGCAGTGGCGTGATCTTGGCTCACTGCAAGCTCTGCCTCCTGAGTTCATGCCATTCTCCTGCCTCAGCCTCCCCAGTAGCTGGGACTACAGGCACCTGCCACCGCGCACGGCTAATTTTTTGTATTTTTAAATAGAGACGGGGTTTCACCATGTTAGCCAGGAAGGTCTTGATCTCCTGACCTCGTGATCCGCCCGCCTCGGCCTTTTTTTTTTTCTTTGAAATGCAGTCTCGCTGTGTCGCCCCGGCTGGCGCGCAGTGGCGTGATCTCTGCTCACTACAAGCTCCGCCTCCTGGGTTCACGCCATTCTCCTGCCTCAGCCTCCCAAGTAGCTGGGACTACAGGCGCCAGCCACCACACCCGGCTAATTTTTTTTTTTTTTTTTGTATTTTTAGTAGAGACAGGGTTTCACAGTGTTAGCCAGGGTGGTCTCGAACTCCTGACCTCGTGATCCGCCTGCCTCAGCCTCCCAAAGTACTGAGATTACAGGCGTGAGCCACGACGCTCAGCCAAAGGGTGGCTTTTTTTGTAATCAATTTAGACCCAAATAAAATTATAACGAAAATATATGTACAAAAGTTGCTATCTGATGAGAGAGACTATATACTTCTGATAGAAAATAAGGACAGTGGTAGTATATAGTATACATTGTTAGAATATTGAAACTTGGAGTATTCTGCTTCATAATTGAGAAGCTCTTTTCTCTATTATTTTTTAAAAGTACCTTAAAATGTGTTATTTCTTCCTATTCCTGCCTTGGGTGAAAAATATATTTTAAGTAAAAAGGAAAATAAAACCCAGAAACTTACAGCAGGCTTGCTCTTGTTCATTTTGTCAGAACAATGTCATACCTTTGCTTACTATATACATAAAGCTAACAAGTGGAAATCATTATACTTTTCAAAAATGCATTTGGCTAAACAGCCCTAAGAAGGAATGAATGTAGAAATTATCTACCAAGCAGAAACTGTGTTCATGCCAATGCAATCTACTGCCTTCTTAGTCGTGACTTCTAACATAAATAAGTTATTTTAAAATTAAGTAGCATTTCCCATAATTGATTTAGAACAATCCAAATAATGGTAATTGGTTCTGATAATGTTTTTATTTGTATAAGCTCTTTTAAAATATGCTTCATGATTCTATGAATAGTCAGATAAAAATTGAATACAAATCATTTATTCATTGCCTATTCAACGACATGCAAAACACTTCACTCAGTTGGAAAAACACAGCTACTAAAATTATGTTTCTTCCTATATTCAGACCTTTTGGTGATACAACACTTCCCACAGAGATTCTGTGTTTGGTTGTCTGACTTGTGTTAGCCAATGGAATAACAGCAAATATAACATATCTAGAAACCTCAAAGTGCAGGCACAGTGCACTTTGCAGACAGAAAATTTGTTTTCTGTCTTGCCACTCTTCCTACACTTTGCCATCTTCATCTAGTGAAGCTTAGCTAGCCAAGTGAATGAATGAATGAATGAATGGATGGATGAATGAATGATTAGAGAACACCTGGAAGAGAGATGAGCTGTCCCAACTGTGGCTCACTCTAGGCTGGCCAGATAACATAATCCGTTATCTGGCTAAAAGTGCTGGAGTCAACACAGTTCAGATGAGTAGAGAATTTATCTGTGTACCTATTGTTGATCCACAGAACATGAGTTAAAGAAATGGCTACATCTTAAGGGAGTATGTATTAAAGGGGCACGTCACACAAAATTATTATATCTAATATAACAATTATAGAATGAGTTATTGAAACTTGGAACAATAGAGATGAATCTCAAAATTTGAATTCTGAGTGAAAGAAGCCACATTCAAAGCAATACTGGAAGATTCAATTTATTTAAAATGATAAAAGCCTGCAATCTAATATATAGTGACACTACATCAGTAGTTGCCTGGAAACCGGGATGGAAGGAGGTTTGGATTACACTGACTTATATAGACCCTTTTGTGAACAAATGAAAATTATATTTTCTTGATTGTGAAAGTAGTTTCACAGACTTATACAGAAGGTCCTCCACTAATGCTGATTTGACTTATGCTTTTTTGACTTTACAAGTATATTTTAATATTTACCCATTGAATTTTCACTAAAATGTAGCTTAATGCTACTCTAATGAAAATAACAGTTGTGCTTGGCAGTCTTAGGATGGTTAAGGTACTTTTAAATATGCAGTTTTGAGCATACTCATAAATATATTGATAAAGAGATAATATTTATCTCTTTGTGAATACTTTATGGCTGAATATTTTATGAAAGTGTCATAAGGCACAAGTTTTTGTTTTGTGTTTGGATTGTTAGCATATAGTAGGTCAAGTATGATTGCTTATGTTATTTGTATTTCAAGGAGAAATAACAACCAATTATTCGGTATATTTAACAAAATGTGGCTTTTTGTACTTGTACAATATTGGCTTTTTAGTATTTTCTCTATAAAACAGAATTTTATCAACCACAAAGAACGGAAAAAGTGTTCATTGTTAGATCTTTGTGCTAAAGACTTTAAAATATCCCAGTTTCCAACAAAAAACATACATTTTACCATCCTGCTGAGATCTATGTGCAAATATGCGCAGAGATCCCATGACAGCAACAGAGGTTAAAACAGTTACGAGCATAAAGCTGCACTATGAATTTCAGATAGTCTAAATGAAGGACACTGACTGCCAGTCATTAATTGCGCTTATATGTGCAGCTTTTGAGACTTCAGTGTTTTTAGTTGAACAATATTTTTAGCAATATAAAAGTGAAAGTAACTTAACCGTGTAAAAGGCAGTGAAGACAGAATATCAAATCATTAAAAATAAGTAGTCTACTCTGAAACATCCAACTGAGAAAATGTCCTAGGGATGTAAAAACTATATTATTATGTTCTATTTCCAAAGAAAGTAAGAATCACAACCAAGTATAAGATAGCTGAGTGTCTTTTTGTCCTCTCTAAATAAAAATATGCTTTAAAAACTAATATGTTATATTACTATATTTAATTAGTTGCTGGATGGGATATCTAAATTTATAACTGGTTAAATTTATGTTGTGACTCTTTTCCATTTTCATACACATGTATAAGTGCATCCCTCTTTATTTTATTGTGTAATATTTGATTCACTGAATAAAAAGCTTGGATTGTTTAGGTGTTTTAGCAGAGTCAGATAAATAATTTGATAAAGCTAGGAGAGCTGTATGATTTCACTCAAATACAGGCAGTACAGTGAAAATCCATTAGAGTGCTCTTAAAATTTGAAAGGTTACCTTAGACCTATAAAAATTTAATGCATTGAAAATGATATAATACAATGACAGAATCTAAATCAACAAAATCTACAGGCTTTCATTGGAAACCTTTCCCCTCAGAACCGGTTTTCTTTTGTAAGATATCTCTGAAAGATAACACAACTAGGAAAAAGAGGCAGAAGAGATACTCAAATATAGATACAGTTAATTTATCATCATAATAAGTATATTCCCTAAGTGCCCAGAAGTTCATAGTGATGTTGTTCTTTGATGTACAAATGAGAATTCTGTTCTCTATGCAGGAACATGAGAGTCACCAAGTATAGAAAGCAAGTTAGTGTACCAAGCAAACATTTATCTTCAATTTAGCACTCTGCTTTGAATTTTTTTTCCTTAGGGAAGACTGAGCAATCATGAGACTGGAAGAGTTTGTCAAAAGGCACAGAATTCTACTTTAAAATGGTTTTATGTTAGGTGACTCTTAATGTTAAAGCAGAGATATCAAGTAAGCAATCTGACATTGAAGCAGACACTGTTGTTGCAACACCCAAATGCCCTAGTGTCAAAGTTCACTGAATGGCTGCATGCATCGCCTACATTGCTGCTCACATCTGCTCATACATTGTTCTTGGGCTATCAGAACCACCTCACATCACACAATTTCTTCCTTGTCATCACATATGAAGAGAAATAGCCCATCTTTGTTTCTTCCAGGTGGAACAAACTCTGTGGCTCCTTATCTGAAACCAAATTGTTGCTTGGTTTCATCTATTCCTTATTCTGTTTCCTGAGGCTCTTTGTGGCCACCCATGACAACATCCCCTTAGTAGGTTCCTTGTATGTCAATCCCTCTGTCAGTCTTCATTTGTAAGGAATTTGATCTCATACCCAAGTCAATAGAAAAACGAGGGCTAGAGAAACTACAGTAGAAAGTATCAGCATTTACAACATTTAAACACCTGGGCCTGTATAGCATTCCCTGGGTAGTAAATGTAAAGATAGAAAAACAGACAGTAAAACACAGTCCTGGGAAAGTGCAGCCTGTACAGGTACATAAGAGGAGAGCCAACAAAAGAGACTTAGAATGACTGGTGAGCTAGGAGAGTAATCAAGTGAAAAGATGTGATCAAGTGTGTCAAATGCTGCGGAGTGATTAAATAAAATGAGGACTGACACTTGATCACTGGAAAAAATACTTCAGAACAAAGTAAGACTATAACCTTCTTACACAATGATGGCAAAAGCATCACTCTGAATATTTCATTTTATCAAATGTAGGGAATGATTTAGACTCTTCTGTAGGACACAAAAGCCTGTGGCTCTAAGGAACTGGAGCAGAAAACACTCTGTAAAGAGAGGCTAAGACCAAGAAGTAAATGGATGGGATTTTGAAGAAAGGCTGTGAAACCCTAGACAAAATATTATAATTACCATTTATAGTGGAAATGATGAAGAACATAAATTTTATTCATATATTGTTAGTAATAAGAATCAATGGCATGCAGACGTAAACTCTAGTACAATGCAAAGGAAGAGAATAAAGACATTAGTAGAAAGTGCAAGAAGAGATAAAAAGATAGGTGATGGAAGAAAACCTAATTGTCAATACATATAAAATAAAATTTATGTGATGGTAACCATAAAATTATATCATCAAATGATATCTCATTTTCAGCCATCAAATGTTTGCAAGAATATAAGAGGCACCTGGAAGGGTTATGAAAAGGGTTTTGACAATCTATGTAATCTCATGCATTGGGACCCAGTATTTCTACTCATAGAGATTAATTCCAAGAACATTTAATATACTTTCTATTTTTCATATTTAAGAATATTTTAATTATTACTTACTGTAGTAATACTAAAAGTAATATAAACATTTTACTTTTAAAACTTCTTTTTGATTTTTTTTGTAAAGATAGGGTCTTGCTATGTTGTCCAGACTGGTCTCCAACTCTTGTTCTCAAGTGATCCTCCCGCCACAGCCTTCCAAAATGCTGGGATTACAGATATGAGCTACCACACCAAGGCAAAAAGTAAGGTAGGCATTGTGGCTTACACCTGTAATCTCAACACTTTGGGAGGCTGAGGCGGGTGGGTCACTTGAACCCAGGAGTTTGCGACCAGCCTGGGCAACATGGTGAGACCCCATCTCCACAAAAAAACTACAAAAAATGAGCCAGGTGAGGTAGTGCATGATGTAGTCCCAGCTACCCAGGAGGCTGAGGCAGGAGGATTGCTTGAGCCCAGGAAGTTGGGGATGCAGTGAGCCATAATCCAGCCACTGCACTCCATCCTGGGTGACAGAGCGGGACCCTACCCCACCCTCCCAAAAACAGTAATGTCAACATTTTAAAAATGAGTTACTAAATAAATTTTAGTATAATCTTAGAGTAAATACAGACAAACATTAAAGTTTTTTAATTTTAACATCTTCAGATTAGTCAACATAAGACTATTACTATTTAATATAGGCATATTATGGTATCTGTATACTGGCTGGCCTACAGCTGACATCCATATATGCCCGTTATGTGGAATTAGGCAATGTTCAGCCTCCACTTAATCCACATAGGTATAAAGTTTCAACTAATGTAAGAAGAACAGAGTCTCCTAAGCAGAACGTGAGTTATAATGTCTCATTTCTGCTGAAATATAGACAAGTCTTGAAGATTTTTGTGGGGCACATGTAAAATAATTTATAGCCAGAGTGAAATGTAGCACCACCGGGAGTAAATCCACCATTTGTTAGGTGCCAAGAATTATGAAGAGTTTAACTTTGGAGGGGACAATGATTATAATTGAGGAAAAGAATCAAAGAAACAAAACCAGATCTTGTTAGCAAAGGTAAAATGAATAATGGGAATTTAGAGCAATGAGAACAAGGATGTAAAAGATTTTGAGCAGTCTGGGCTGAGTGAACTGTTTGTTATTCCCGAGGGAGTTTTGAATACATTCAAATTTTGCTCCTGAAGATTCTGAAAGGTATTAAAGAAATAAGAGAACTTCAATATGAGGCTGAGAGTATGTAGATTTAAACCAGGGTATTTGAAATTCTATGCTTTCTATGATCTCACTCATATTCTTGGACTTTAGTGAGATGTGTATGATGTTTTGAATATTACATATTATTCCTGGAATCCTGCACTGAGAACAGTCCATTTATAATAAGTACATAACACAATCATTTTCATCACTCTTCATTTTCACTGAGGACAGAAAGATATATGATTATTTATAGTGAGTACAAAGAGGGTTTTTGAAGTACCAAAATGAACAGATTCTAAAATGTATTTTTATCAAATCCCATAAGTAGCAAATCAGACAAGTAGCAACTGCTGTTAATAATAATAAAATTTTTCTTAAATAAAAAAGTATTCTGTTTGCATTGGCTATCAGTTACTAAGTGAAAGTAGTAAATAATACTTTAAATTATTTTCTAAAATATAAATGCTGTAAAATGATAAAGCTGTATATTATCTTTTTGATATTTTTCTAGATAGTTAACATCAATGTTACCATACTGTGAATAGAATTAATTACAAACACTTGAAATTTATTTCTAATTATAGTTTGTAAACTCCATTACTGTTTTTGTTTTGTCATATTTAGTATTCTTTTCACAGAAATAATTACTAGTTTAATATAATACTAGCTTATAATTTCTACAAGTAATGATGTATTGACAAGTGAAATTAAGAAAAAAACTATTTGTGCTACTCATTTTTTAACAATTTTTTAGGAAGTTAGGTAAAAAATGTAAACATTTGATTTTGAAATTATGCATTATTTTTGCTAAGCATTGTTCACTTGAGATCAAAGAAACACCCTATCATTAGAAGGAAAATAAGAATTGCATTATAGGCAATTGTATTAAACTTATTATTAGAAGTTTTACTTGGGTCAATTAGGTTTTACACACACACACACACACACACACACACACACACACACACACGTTACCTAATTGATCACAGATTGAACATAGGTATGTATATATATATGTATGTCACCTAATAGATCACAGATTGAAAAGGAACCAGTAATATTATTTACAGATGATGTGATCATGTAGACAGAAAATTTTAGGAAGCTTCTAAAACTATTTGAACTAAGATACTTGTTCATCAAACTTACAGACATGAAATCAATATTAAATCATTTTTTCTATGTACTAGCAATGAAAATAAGTAAAAAATTAAAACAATATTACAATAATAAACTTGTTAGAAAAAAACTGAAGAAAGGAAGTATGAGATATGCATACCAAAAATGATAAAATATTGTTGAAAGAAAACATAAGATATTTAAATAAATGGAAAGATATCCTAATTTCACGAAGCAGACTTTACATTGACAATGTTCCTCAAATTAATGTAAAGTCTCAGTACAACTCTTATTCAAAACTCAGTCATTATTAATGATTGCAGAAATTGAGAATCTTATTCTAAAATTAAAATGGAAATGTAAAGCATCCAGATTTGTCAAAACAATTTTTTTTTTTTACATCAAGTTCTGGGATACATGTGCAGAACGTGCAGGTTTATTACACAGGTATATGTGTGCCATGGTGGTTTGCTGCACCTATTGACCTGTCCTCTAAGTTTCCTCCCCTCAGCCCCAGCCCCAACAGGCCCTGGTGTGTGTGTATTGTTCTGTTCTTTGTATCCATATGCTCTTAATGTTAACTACCACTTATGAGTGAGAACATGTAGTGTTGGTTTTTCTGTTCCTATGTTAGTTTGCTAAGGATGATGGCTTCCAGCTTTATCCATGTCCCTGCAAAGGACAGGATCTCATTCTTTTTTATGGCTGCATAGTATTCCATGGTTTATATGTACCAAATTTTCATTATCCAGTCTATCATTGATGGGCATTTGGGTTGGTTTTATGACTTTGCTATTGTAAATAGTGCTGCAATAAACATATGTGTGCATGTGTCTTTATACTGGAATGATTTATATTCCTTTGGTTATATATCCAGTAAAGAGATTGTTGGGTCAAATGATATATCTAGCTCTAGATCTTTGAGGAATCGCCATACTGTCTTCCACAATGGTTGAGCTAATTTACATTCCCACCAACAGTGTAAAAGCATTCACTCCAGCCTGGGCAACAAGAGCAAAACTCCATTTCAAAAAAAAATAAATATAAAAAGCGTTCCAATTTCTTTACAGCTTCACCAGCATCTATTGCTTCTTGACTTTTTACTAATCAGCATTCTGACTGGTATGAGATGGTATCTCATTGTGGTTTTAATTTGCGTTTCTCTGACGATCAGTGATGTCGAGCTTTTTTCCATATGTTCGTTCGCTGAGTAATGTCTTCTTTTGAGAAGTGTCTGTTCATATCCTTTGCCCACTTTTTGATGGGGTTGTTTTTCTCTTGTAAACTTGCTTAAGTTCCTTGTAAATTCTGGATATTAGACCTTGGTCAGATGGGTAGATTGCAAAAATTTTCTCCCTTTCTCTAGGTTGCCTGTTCACTCTAATAATAAGTTTCTTTTGCTGTGCAGAAGCTCTTTAGTTTAATTAAATCCCATTTGTCAATTTTGTCTTTCGTTGCAATTGCTTTTGGTGTTTTCATCATTAAGTCTTTGCCCATGCCTATGTTCTGAGTGGTATTGCCTAGGTTTTCTTCAAGGATTTTTATGGTTTTGGCTTTTACATTTAAGTCTTTAATCCATCTTGAGTTAAGGTTGGATAAGGTGTAAGGAAGGGGTCCAGTTTCAGTTTTCTGCATATGGCGAGCCAGTTTTCCCAGCACCATTTATTGAATAACAGACCCTTTTCCCACTGCTTGTTTTTGTCAGGTTTGTCAAAGATTAGATGGTTGTAGATGTGTGGTGTTATTTCTGAGGTCTCTGTTCTGTTCTGTTCTGAAGCTTATTTCTGTCATTTCATCCATCTAACCCTCCATCCAGTTCCGTGCTCTTGCTGGAGAGGCACTGCAATGATTTGGAGAAGAGGCACTCTGACATTTTGGGTTTTCAGCATTTTTTCATTCTTTCTTTCTCTTCTTCATCAGTTTGTCTAGTTTTAATCTTTGAGGCTGCTGACCCTTGGATAGGGTTTTTGTGGGGAGGTTTTTGTTGTTGATGCTGCTGTTGTTGCTTTCTGTTTGTTTGTTTTTCTTTCAATGGGAAGGTCTCTCTTCTGTAGGGCTGCTGCGGTTTGCTGGGGGTTCACTTCAGGCCTTATTCATCTGGATAGATCCCTCGCCTGGAGATGTCACTGAAGGAGGCTGGAGAACAGCAAAGATGGGTGCCTGCTCCTTCTTCTTGGATCTCTGACCTTGAGGGGCACCAACCTGATCCCAGTAGAGTCGCTTGTGTATAGGGTGTTTGACAACCCCTGTTGAAGAGTCTCACCCAGTTGGGTGGCACAGGGAACAGGGCCTGTTTAATGAAGCACTTTGTCCCTTGGTGGATGAGGTCTGCTTGGCTGGGAAGAAACCCACTAGTCTGGGCTACCCAGATTCCTGAGAACTACCAGGAGGAAAGGCAAAGTCTGCCGGTCTGCAGAGACTGTGGCCACCCCTCCCCCTAGGGGCTCGGGCCCAGGGAGATCAGGGTTCTGTCCCTGAGCCTCCGGCTGGAGTTGTTGGAGTTCCTGCAGGGAGGCTCCACCCAGTGAGGAAGGATGGGTCAGAATCAGGCCTGAAGATGCGCTCTGTCTGTAGTCTGCCACAGCTTACGTGTTGGGCTGTGGGGAACACCTCTTTGGACAAAGCCATCCAGCTTCCCTGGCTTCAACAGGGGAAAAGCGCAGCCTGGAGCTATAGTGATGGGTGCCGCCCTCCTCCAACCCGGGGAGCTTATGTGTTAGGCAGTTATGAGTCTCAGTGCTGGCTGCTGCCCCTCTGCCAAGAAGCTCAAACGGCTCAGACAGCAAGCAGCAGCAACTGTGGTGCTGGTCGCCCCTCCACCAGAAAACTCGGCAGGCTTAAGCGGATTCTAGCTGAGAGGTTGTTGAGAATCTGTACAGCTCTGGGGTTGGAACCCTAGGCCCCGGTGGCGTGGGTCCACGAGTGGGACCTTCCAATCCGTGGGTTGCACAGTTCGGGGGAAAAAGCACAGTTTCCCTGGCTGGGTAGCATGCTCACTCACCGCCTCCCTTGGCTGGAGGGTGGGGGCTCCCCTGCCCAGTGTGGCTCTCAGGTGGGCCACTGTACCACACTGCTCTTCCTTCCTCTCCATGGATCGCACCCCCCTACCTTGTCAGTTCCGATGAAAGAACCTAGATATCTTGGTTGCTGGTGCAGGATTCACATGCTAATTATGGTTCTTTTCGATGGGAGCCTGAGATCACCACTGCTTCTAGTTGTCCATCTCGGCCCCACGTCCACCAAAACAATCTTGATAAAGAACAAATTTGGTGTTCAAGAACCAAACCTTCATATATGTGCTTTCCACAACTGTTGCTTTAACCAAATGTGAATCAAAATATTTTAAAAATAACAATACAATAAAATTAGTAAAATTTTTAAAGTAACAGTATAACAACTATTTATATAGCATTTACATTATGTTAGGTATTATAGGTAATTAGAGTTTAAAATGTCTGAGAGAATGTCTATAGGTAATATACAAATACTATACCATTTTTTAAATTAGAGACTTGAGCGTCTGCAGATTTTGGTATTTGTGGGGTAGAGTTGCAGGTCCAGGAATCAATCTCCTGTAGCTACCAGTCTCCTTGGATAAATCTGTCACTGTCTCCCATCAACCCCAGATGGGACCTTCTAGTTGCAGGAAAACAAGCTCAGGGCTCCCACTGATTCTATATTATAGTGAGTTGCATAATTATTTAATTATATATTACAGTGTAATAATAATAAAATAAGATGCACAATAAATGTAATGCACTTGAGATCTAAAAACCACCACTCCCTCCAGCCTGGTGTGTGGAAAAAATGTCTTCCATGAAACAAGTCCCTGGTGCCAAAAAGGTTGAGGACCACTGTTTTAGGCTATGAAGATCTTTTGAAGGTTTCAAATCATTCAATTCACTCTTGGAGAATGAAAACATATACTTTGTTACTTTTCATATGCTACTTATATCAAGAGGAGAGAAACTTGAAAGGAATACCTTTCAGTTTAAGAGTGTTTTTATTACTGGGTGCTCATTGACACGTTCACACGTTCAATTTCATTAAGGCAGTAAAACCATGGACATGGATGAAACAAAATGAGAAAAAAGTGATGTCAGAGCTTTCTTTGTTTTATTCTTCCTGTTACTTTTTTTTTCAATAAACAAATCTAACCAAGCATTAAAAGGAGAAATTTATAATTTCTTAAACACTTTCTCAAATCCTGGAAAATTCTATAAACATAATGTCAGTAACTTTCAATTTCTTTAAACTGAATTCCACACAAATTACAGTCATCTGCATAATAAGTACTTAAGAATACAATCTTTGAAGTCTGTCAAGTTGATCTTTAAAAACCTTTGCTACTCATTTTAGACCCTGCCATTACTGCCCATCAACTAACCTTTTTGTCTTTTACTTACCTTGTATTACAAAACTAACCGAAATTGAGGTGAAAATGTGACTTTTAAATGGTAAATAATTAAAAAGTAAGTTGCCAACTCATCAGCAGCAGCACATCAATTTGTCACGATTTTACGAACAAATCAATTGTTTCTTTAACAAAAAATAATAATCAACAGCTGTTACAATCAGAGACAAGGTATTCTATTAAAAGTAAATTCCACGGAAAAGCTATTGTGCCTTCTCTAGCCAACAAAAAAGACAATACTCTTGACAAAGCATATTACGCAGCAGTGATGTCAACAAAAAGCTTTTAGAATAAAAAATATGGGAGATAACAGTTTATAAGCTCATAAGATTGTGTGATCTCTCTGCAATATTAATTGGATAGATTTATGAGCCGTCCCTATAATCTACTAATGATTCATTGAAAAAGCATGTTTTCAGGCAGCTGTACATATATATAGAATCTTCAACCATAATGTCATGCAAATGTTGACTCACACACCGTATTTTCAAGCAGCTTTTAAAATCAGACTTCCAACTCCTTCTTTGAGTAATACAGGTGGAACTCATGTTTGCTTTGTAACTGACATAAAGTAGGGAAAGCACTTTTCTGAATGTCTCTGGAGCTATCTATCAGTGTGCCCCCTAGTATCTAGATGGGTGGGATCAAATAATTGATTAATACCATCATTTTATTTCTCAGATCATTTGTTCTTCTTATGTTTTATTTCTATATTTTCCTTATCACAAGCAAAGCTTTTCAGCGGCCATTATAATTTCAGTTTTCTGTAGCAGTAAACGGCAAAGCTCAATGTAAGTCCATTGACAAAAAAAAAAAAAAACTAATAATAATCATTGACTAATCTTGACCTTTTATATAGTAGAGAAGATTTGAAGATTATGATTTTAATCCTATGGGTCATGTCTCTAAAGCCTTTATTAGATGAAAAGTTATAAAAGCGAATAATATTAAGCATTTCATACAGAAAATTACAGTTCTTAAAATATATTTGAAATGAAGAAATTCTAATTTAGCTATGTGTATAACTCTAACAACATGGTACTAAATAACTCAGACACTGACTCAATCATTTTTCTTAAATATGTATCTCAAATTTTCAAGTTTGTTAGAATTTATGGGCTTCATGCTCATATCCATAAATTTCTAATTTACTCAAAACTTCAGAAGAAAGGGCAAATATGTTTTTGAGAGTAATTAACAAATCTTAACTCACATGTATAATCGAGTTCAATTTTCCTCTTTAAAGAATAGCTGTTTCTTCTCTGGTAATATAAACCCAGTATTGCATTGGTGATATATTTTTTCTTCATAATATTTCAATTCAAATAAGGAAATAAGAGTCAGAAATGTCAAATACTCAGATAAGAGCAAATACAAGAACTTCAATCCACCAAGTCTGTGTAACTGAATTCAGTTATATTAGGCATATTATGCCAATTAGATTTTCTTGAAATTATGCACTTTCTATATGAAGTATTGTGTCTACTAAGATGATTTTCATCATATTATTTATCATTTATGCAAAACATATTTTTAGCTACTTGTCAGGTGAAAGATATATCACAGCTACTAGAGATCCAAAGATGTAAAGATACAGTCCTTGTTCCAAGAAAATCATAAGGGAAACTGATAGGCATATTTTACAATTGTCATATCATGGGTCAAATGCTATGATAAATCTAAGTATGGAATAATGGAATATTGCATAGTATACCATGAACTCACAGTGTTATTTGGATCTTAGATTGGAAATTTTGCATTATTAAGGTAGCATCAGTAACAAAAATTAGTATCATTAAGGAATTATTCTAAGTCAATTATTCACTTTCAAACAAGGAAATCTTTATTTTGTTCCACAGTCCCTGGACTTTTCTGATATTACATTGTTCTAAAAGTATTTCTGCTATAAACCTATTAACTTTATGTCTAGCACATTAAGTAAATTTCAGCTTTCATCCAGCTTTTCTGCATCAAACACAGAACAGGATGTTTTCAGAGATTTTCAAGATGTTTATAAACAATGTATTAGCTCAGCACTGTATAAAAAGAAACCAGGAAGTACTAAATCCATGGCATTTTAAATATATATACTTAACGATTTACTTTGCTTGCCCTTTTGAAAGTTTCAGCTTAAATTTAATGGCTTATGGGATGGAGGCTAGGATACTTGTATACTCTAGTGCTATGGTATATAATTTTGCGATATGTGTTGACAAACAGAAGTGAGGTTCATGAGGGACTAGCTTAGGCTTTACTGTTTTATCTTTGAAATGAATGTGCACAGAATTTTAAAGGATTGTTCAGATATTTGGAAATTATTTCAGGTATCTAGGGCTAACTCATACATTCATAAAATTATTTTTGTAGTGAACTGCTATTTCTTTTCACATAATATAATCAATATATGTGCTCAGGTAAGGCACAGCAAATTTATGGGGCAACATTAATTAGTAACTAGTAATAAGTAACTAGACCTCTAGTTACTTTGTAACTGAGAGGCTTCTATTCTTGAATTGCTTGTCTTCACTAAAATGAGAACTCCAAAATCTTAAATAATATACACATTTTTTTACATGCTATTTTTCCCATAATAGGTAAACATACACATGTACTCTTGTTACTTTTTTAAAAACGTGTTCCAAAGTTCAGATTGATCTTCAAAAGAAGTCATAACAATAATATAGTAAAAAAGATAAGCAATTATTTTAAAACTACTTCAGTAATTATTGGCCAAAGATCAAGAATAATATTTTTTATCAGGTTTTGATTTATGAGGATCCTCTACTAAGTTTTGAGATGACATATGTATAATTTCTAGAGGCAGAAATCAATCATGAGGGATTTAAAAACAAATAATTAAACATTATTTAAACTGATTTAGCAACCTTTTGTTGGGAATTTTCTCTTTTGTTTCAAATATCAAAGTAGTATACAGTCTACATTTTTAACACAGGTCAATAGGTTATATAAAGAATATCATATATTTTAAAATAAAATACAAACGGCTTACTCATCTTACGATTGGAAATGTCATTCAAATGTACATTCCTTACTGAGAGCCAAAGTTCTATTTATCGGTTAAAATAATTTAACTTTGGAGATGCAAGATGAGTTCCATAATGAAGATAAATCATGTGATCATATTAATGTAGAATTTCATCAACATTCAATACCCACTCTTGATAGAAACTCAGACAACATGGAATCGCTTCTAATTTTCTCAAAAATAATGAAGAAAATCTACAAAACACGTATATTTATCACAATATGTAGTGGTAAAAGACTGAATACAGTTCTCCTAACTTCAGTAACATGGCAAGAATCTTTACTTTTCCACTCTTATTCAGTATAGTACTAGAAGTCCTAAGGAATGCAACAGAGCAAGGCGGGGCGGGGGGGCCGGGGGGGCCGGGGCGGGGGCGGGGAAGAAAGCATACAGACTGGAAAGCAATCATTGAAATTTTTTTCCTGCTTGTAGAATACATGGTGACATATGTAGAAAATACCAAGGAAACTAAACTGAAGGTTCCTTTAAATAATATGTGATCCAACAAGGTCTCAGGATAAGACATCAGCATACAAATAGTTTATTATATTTCTTTATATAAGCAATGCAATATTTTTAACCAAATTTTAAAAATACCATTTACAATGGCTTAAAAAACTTGACATACTTAGGTATAGATCAAGGAAGGCATGTGCAGGATTTTTTATGGAAAGCTATAAAATCCTAACAAAAATAATTCAAAACATTAATAAATAAGCACATTATGTTCAAAAACATACCATGTTTTTGAAGAGCACATATAAGAAGATCTTCATGACCTAGGATTAGCAAAAATTGTTCTTAGACATGACAAAACACAAAATACACACACACACACACACACACACACACACACACACACACACAAAAGCTACCAGACAAAAAGTTGATGAAATGAAATTTATCAGAACTAAAATTTTACTTTGAGAAAATCTCTATGATGATGATAAGGACACATGGCATAAGATGTAAACTTGAGGCAAACACTTGTAAATTGAAAACACAGTTCTAAAATGGTCAAGAAAATTGACAAGATTCTTGACTAAAAAAGATTTCAATGTGGTAAATAAGCCCTTTGAAAAATGCTTGAATTAATTAGCGATTAGCAAAACTAAAGTTAAATCATAGTGAGATATTAGTACTTATCTATTAAAATAATTATTTTTAAAAAACTACATAAGAAATTCCTGGAACTGTTGCAGAATAACGTTATCTCTTCTTTCTGCTGATAGAAAAGTAAAATGGAGCACTGACCCTGGAAAAATCATTTTTACATACATTTTAAAATTAAAATCAATTTTTGAAATAGAAATTTAATTCTTGGGCATTTATCCTACAGAAAAGAAAATATATTAACATAAAAAGTTGTATTGTGATGTTCAAAGCAGCATCATGCATAATAGTCCCAACCTGGAGAAAAACTGAAATATATTTTATGAGAAAATGGATAAGGAAGTTGCACTATAGTACACCAGATTAGAATATTAAAAACCAACAAATACTTCGAAAAAAACAACAAAAATGTCCTAAATTTATTTTCTAATTTGTATAGGTATAAAGTTTGTATTTAGGTCTGTGATCTATGTAGATATAATTTTGTTCTAAGGTGTCAAGTATGAGTAATGTTTTTGTGTTTGTTTTTGTTTTTCCATATAGATGTCTAGTTTTCCAATAACATTTGTCGAAGTCTCCTTTCTTCATTGAACTGCCTTGGCATCTTTGTTGAAAATCAATGAACTATACATATGTGTGTTGATCTTATAACTCTATTCCATACTATATGGGTTGCTTTGTCTATTTTTTTCACTAATGCTATGATGTCTTGATTATTGCTACTGTTAGGAAATCATAAAATCAGGTAACTATTCCAACTTTGTTCTTTTTCAAAACTATTTTTGCTATTCTAAATTCTCTGCTTTTAAATACACATTTTAGAATTATTTATTCATTGTTGATAATTAGAAATACAATTGAAATTTGTATATTGAGCTTGTATCTGAAAACATTGCTGAACTGTCATCATTTCTTGGAGGTTTTGTGTAGAGTCCATGGACAATCAAAATGTATTTGATTAGAGAAATTTTTATTTTCCCTTTCCAGTTCATAAATAACTTTTTCCTCCTGTATTTTAATAGGTTAGACTTCCAGTATCACCTCAATGATACTGGTAAAAGTGGATCTCTTTGCCTTGCCACTCATCTTTCAGTGAAACTGTTCAATCTTTCACTATTTAATATGATGTTACCTGTAGGTTTTTTGCAGATTTGCATTAGGATAGATAGTTTAGGGAACTAATCACCTATTCATAATTTACTGAAAGTTGTTATCATGATCAGATGTTGGCCAAAGTCTTATCTAAATCTATTGAGGTGATCATAGTGCTATTCTTCTACTTTCTGTTAATATGGTGAATTATCATAAATATTATAAATAATAAATTAGCCTTTAATTACTTATATAAACCCTATCTATTCATGTTTTTTCATATGTATATACATTTTCCACACGTGAATTTATGTAAAGGGTGTACAAAATTCCTTATCCAAAATGCTGGAGAGTCGAAGTGTTTCAGATTTCATACTGGTTTTTTTTCAGATCTGAGAATATTTGCATATATATAATGAGATATTGTATTAGTTCGTTCTTGTGCTGCTATGAATACATACCCAGGACTAGGTAATTTATAAAGAAAAGAGTTTTAATTGACTCACAGTTTCATATGGTGGGGGAAGCCTCAGGAAACTTACAATCATGGCAGAAGCCACCTCTTTACAGAGCAGCAGGAGAGAGAATGAGTACAAGCAGGGGAAATGCTAGATGCTTATAAAACCTCAGCTCTCTTGAGACTCTTTCATTATCATGAGAACAGCACAGAGGAAACGGTTCCTATGATTCAATTACCTCCAGCTGGTCCCATCCTTGACACGTGGGAATTATGGGGATTACAATTCAAGGTGAGATTTGGGTGGGGACACAGAGCCAAACCTTATCAGATATCTTGGGAGTGGAACCCAACTCTGAACACGAAATTCATTTAAGTTTAATATACACCTAACACCCAGAGCCTGAAGGTAATTTTATGCAGTATTTTCAGTAATGTTGTGCATAAAAGAAAGTTTTGACTGCATTTTTACTGAAACACCTCACATGAGATCAAGTGTGGAATTTTTCACTTGTGGTGTAATGTTGTTGCTCAAAAAGTGTTGGAATTTGGAGTATTTCAAATTTTGAATATTTGGATTAGAGATGCTCGACCTGTATTATATAAAATTATCTTTAGACTCTGTGTATAAAGTGTATATGAAACACAAGTGGATTTTGTATTTAGGCTTAGGTCATATCCACAGGATATTTCATTAGGTATGTGCAAATTGTCCCAAATTTGAAAAGGTCCAAAATATGAATGACTTTCAGTCTCAAGCATTTCTGATAAAGAATACTCTACCTGTATTTACTTATTATCTTTTAATATTTGCAGGGATGTTTTTCCTTTCATTACTGATATGAATAATTTGTGTGTTGTGTTTGTGTCTATGTGTGGGGTCAGTTTTGCTAGAGATTAGTCAATTTTTCTTTCAAAGAAGCAGGTTTTGTTTCACTGCTATTATCTTGCTGTTCTGATTCCAGTTTAAATACTTTCAGCTCTTATATTTACTATTTTCTTTATTCCACTTGCTTTGGACTTAATTTATTCTTCTTTAAATATTTTCCTAAGTTGTATACTTGGATTATTGACTGGGGCCCTGTTTTCTTAAACATGGATTTTTTGCTGTTTCTGTTTCAGTACTGATTTATCTGCAACTCACAAATTTTGATATGTTGCATTTGTGATTTTATTTATCTTAAAATATTTTCTAAGTTTTCTGAAAACTTTCTTTTTGATCAATGTGTTATTTAAAAATGCTGTGCTTAATTTCCAAATACTTGAGGAGTGCTTAAATGTTTGTTATTAATTTTTATCTGATAAAATTAATACTTCCATTTTTAACATCAAATAAAAGGTCAACCTGGAAGTAGTGGGGATATGGAGAAATTTCCTTTTTTCTATAAGCCAGATTCTAATAACTAAGGAGGTTGGAATGATTCTGTTGATATTGGTGATGGTGGTAGGGATGCTATACATTTTTTGGCAAAGTGGAAGTAGACTACAAAGAAAGAGCAATGCCAAACCACTTCTTTGTTAGTAACTATAACATCAGCAGCATTCACGGTACCATCAGCAAAGTCAGCATGAATTTCAGAAGTGAATACCTTAGGCAGAAATTGTGACTACTTAGTTCCAAAGAGTTTCAACTGGCAAGCATTGAGAAGAATGAGCAGCCCCCTCCAATGTGAGAATGCAACATTAGCCAAGGTCAGAAGAATACGGTAACTGCTCCTTTCAGAGTTTTAACTTTACCAGTGTTATTTGCAGAAGAACTTGTGGCAGACACTTCAGGTGGAACTAATTTCTAATAAGTGAACTGACAAAGGCTCATGCATTCATAACTTGATGTTAGGAAAAAGTAAAAGAAATGCAATCCCACTTCATATGGAAAGTCTGCTAAGGGTGAGAACCTACATATACAGTTGTGCTGCACTTCACTTGACTTGATTAACCTTTGAAAGTTTATGCAGATCTAATCAGGTTAGGCTTGAATTAGAGTGCATTTATATTCATGATTATAAACATATCTGAATCAGTAGACCAAGAAGTGGTATATTACATGGTAGGATCCAGGCGTTTTCATAATCCTTTGTCTATTTGTACTTTTCAGTGACCATGTTTTGCTCTATCATCAATAGCAGTACTGAGGCTAAAAATTCTTGATGTAAATCACAAAATGAATTTTTTCTATAAACAAGTTTGGCTTAAACTAAACATACTAGAGACAGTCATGATAAGGAATAAAACATATATTCAAACAAAAGCAAAAGAAGATTATGAGATTATCATTTCTGAGTGTTTATAAGGCCTTGTATCTAGGATAGGCTTACTTATATTTAGAAAGTAACGACTATGCTTCTATGATCTTCAAAGATTTTCATTTGACCTTCTTTGACAGGGATCCCAACAACTTGATCTGATAACACTTGTGATATGTAATTTAAAAATAAGTGCCTGAATTTTTTAATGGTTGATCGGATTAATTCTGTATGGTCAATTAGTATATATCAATAATTACTGCACATCTTAGAAAATACGTTTTATATGGAATTTATAAATTATAACTTAATTAGCCATCAAAAAAGATAAGTGATAACACAGTAGGTGGGTGTGAGCCAGGGAAAATTTGATAAGCTCTCACACACCATTAAACAACCTCAACAGTCATTTTAGGGGAAAGAGGTCTTCACTTTCTGTTTTTGCCTTCTCATCACTTGTGTCGGTAGGTCTTTTCATGAAAGAGGCCCATAAATGAATAAAAACAGTCATATAATACAAGTTTCCTGTTTTATAGTCATAAATATAATAGCATGTTAATAGATAGTTTATTACGATGAACTCTGTTACTAAACATAAAATTTGTTATATTTAATACATAGCACCATCTAGTGAAATTTGAGGGAAATGTATCATGTATTGAATATAATGCATAACAACATTGCAAATGTTACAGACTAATTCTTATTCATTAAGTATAATTTTAGGTTTCTTCAAGAAATTTCCCAGGGAATAAATAAAATGTATGTCTGTATATGTGTGTGCTTATATATATAGAAATAGAGACAGATATGGCTATAGATATAGACACTTCATAGTATTAAAATTTATTCTTTTTATATTAATATGTTTATAAAATCAGTAAAATGTTCTCATACTATTAAATAATATATACCATTAAAAGCATGTATTTATTATGTATGCGTGTTTTGATATTAAGAAAATTGTACTTCAAAAGATTTATTTAAAAATCTCTAATAAGTTTTTATAATAACATTTGTTGGATTTTTGTGAAAATAGAGGTTGATGGTTCATGGAAGTTGTCAGAATAAATTTAATATTTACTTGACGAAATATGCCCTAATAGTTTATAAAATATTAAATGTTGAAAAATAAGTGATATTAAAATAATATATATAGAATTGTGTGAACACACCTCACTCCTCATGTTGATTTCTTTTCAATATAGCATAGAGTTCATCTATGTGCAGAGTTTATATTTTTGCCCATACACATATTTTACACAAAAACTATTTTGAACATCATCAGTAATGAAAATATATCATGCTCTGTGAATGAAGGCAAGAACCACCACCAAAAATGTTTTAAAACCACGCTAGGTAATAGAAGGGGAATAGGAATTGGACAAATGGTAAAATGAAAATAAGTCATTATAAAATATAATTGTGGATTTATTTTGCATTTGATCAATGGGCTCAAGTACAATTCTAAAAAGATAAGTTCAAATACATTTTTGTAACGTTTTGATTAGTAATTTAACAAATAAGTATTGATTATCAGCAGGAACTATTCAATTAATGAATAAGAATACAAGTGTGTCAGTAATGAGAATACACTGCCTGACTTTCCCATTAGACAGCATGGTTGACCAGAAGCCCCAGTTACTATGCTTTAAAATCCATTTTCATGTTTTCCCCAAGGCCATGCTTTCTACCATCTCACTGCTAGCCAATAACCGAGTATGCTATGAGTACAAAAACAGGCTTATTTTGAGGAGACAGGAGGACATTTCTGACAGCCATCTTTGACTCACAAACTCCTCGATAGCTTTGATAAACTTTTCTTAGATTGCACTGCTATCTGGAAAGCTTCCACCAACCTTCTTTTTCTATCTCCTTTACACTTAGAAACACAATCTGATGGCTCTCCAAGACCCAGGTTTCTCTCCACGTTTTCTCAGATTTTTTTTCTAATAAAAGGTTCACACATTTAATTTTATTTAATCCTTTGTTGGCATCTATTTCTCAGAAAATTCTGAAGTTGGAAGGGTCAGAAGTTTTGTTCTTAGAGTGATAGATTTTTTTTTTTTTTTTTTTTTTGAGACGGAGTCTTGCTCTGTTGTGTGTACCCAGGCTGTAGTGCAATGGCGCAATCTCGGCTCACTGCAAGCTCCGCCTCCTGGGTTCAAGCCATTCTCCTGCCTCAGCCTCCCGAGTAGCTGGGACTGCAGGCGCCTGCCACCACGCATGGCTAATTTTTTATCTTTTTAGTAGAGACGGGGTTTCACTGTTTTAGCCAGGTTGGTCTCCATCTCCTGACCTCGTGATCCACCATCCTCGGTGTCCCAAAGTGCTGGGATTACAGGCGTGAGCTACCGCGCCCGGCCGAGTGATAGATTCTTATACGGGTTTGCTTTCATTACACAAAGAGCTTTAGTTATTAGTACCACATACATGCTTAAGGAATGCTTGATCCACAGGCTTGAATCCCACACAGTGTAGCACTGGGGCAGGGGGCATAACAAGGGTCCCATTTAACGATAAGTTATAGTTAAGTTTAAATTAACTATAGACCAATAGGGTAACTTCAAAATTCATGTGCCCAGGGATCACCAGGCAAAAAGAGGAGTCACAGAATGTCAGGAATAATTGACCTTCATCAGTAAAAGGAAAAACGGTTGTCATTATGCAATGGAGCAGGGAGAAATATGTATGAAACCCGGGTGATCTACTTGGGTGCTTCTTGTTCCATTGGTACTCCTTTGCCTCATTTTAACTGTGAATGCTGCAACCCTAGGTGAAGAAGAAGGCTATGATTATTGCAGAATCAGGTACTTCAAGAATGAAAGTTTGACACTCACACTACCAAGCAAGGTTGGAAAAAGTTTGAAATGGATAATGATGGAAGGAGGGTGAGTATCAGTCAGATATTTTTAGATCAACTGCATCAGTAGGGTTAACTTCAAAGCAGTAATGTTTTCCTATATTTTTCCTTAAATATGTCCCAGGTAACCATGGAACTGATCCATGAACCTGTGTGGAGATTTTGAGCTCTACAGCAAGCGTGAGTGGACACTGGTGGTCATGAGAATGGGAGCATGGTTGACCAAGAACCCTAGCTGCTGTACTCTGGAATTTATCAGCCACATTTGCACTGAAGATAAATTTCTCACTGACTAATCAAGCCAATGACTGAAAGTGGTAAGGACACTTACCTGGCCTAATTTGGGAAGACATGGGCGTCTCCTAACAATCAGTGTTGGCTCCAGAACTCTCCTATCTCTCTGCTGAACTTTTCTTAGACTGAAAAAGCAGTATAGGATTCTTTTACACACAGTTTTATTCTCAGTCCTTTCCTTGGGATCAAACTTGCATGACCATGTAATAAATAGCTCAGCATTACCAGCTTCTAGCCCACTTCCTTTCAACAGACCTCTCAGGTTTGCCACTGACAAAATCCTTGATTAGTTAAAACTGACAGTGCAATATCAAATAGCCCAAGAAGCTTGGATAGGCAAGAGGCTAGGAATTACTAATTGGATTAAATTGATTCATTTTGCTGATTGATATGGTTTGGCTATGTCCCTACCCAAATTTCATCTTGATATGTACCTCTCATAATCCCTAAGTGTCATGGAAGGGACCTGGTGAGAGGTAATTGAATCATGGGGGCAGGTTTTCCCATGCTGTCCTTGTGATAGTAAATAAGTCTCATGAGATCTGATGGTTTTATAAGGGGCAGTGCTCCTGCACACGCTCTCTTGCCTACCACCATGTAAGATGTGCCTTTGCTCCTTCTTAACTTTCCGCCATGATTGTCAGTCCTCTCAAGCCATGTGGAACTGTGAGTCCATTAAGCCTCTTTTTCTTTCTTTTTTTTTTTTTTTTGAGACATAGTATCGCTCAGTTGCCCAGGCTGGAGTGCAGTGGCTCGATCTCTGCTCACTGCAAGCTCCGCCTCCTGGGTTCACGCCATTATCCTGCCTCAGTCTCCTGAGTGGCTGGGACTACAGGCACCCACCAACACGCCCAGCTAATTTTTTTGTGTTTTTTTAGTAGAGACGGGGTTTCACCGTGTTAGCCAGGATGGTCACGATCTCCTGACCTCGTGATTGGCCCGCCTAGGCCTCCCAAAGTGCTGGGATTACAGGTGTGAGCCACCGTGCCTGGCTGCCTCTTTTTCTTTATAAATTACCCAGTCTTGGGTATTTCTTCATAGCAGTAGAAAAATGGACTAATACACTGATACACAGCCAGTAGATTATTAGGAAAAATTTTCTTCTAATTTCAAATTAATATTCTTCTTGTTTTAGAAAGGCTAAAATTAGAAAAAATAAAACAACAAAAAAGTATCCTATGAGGAAGAATATAAAAAATAAGTCAAGTATGTTTGTTACAAGGCATAAGACAGGCCAAGTAGGGAGAAGGAAAAAATTGGTTTCCCATATTTCAGCTCAAAAAAACAGCAGAAACCCAAAAATATTTGAATTAGGAGATTCTGTTTAGAAGAAGCCTGTGGTCACAGAGATAAATTGCATTATGTCTGATTAGATTCTTGTAATAATAAAGCATGATATATTGGATATCAAGTTTAAAATGTCATCTGGACAGTTTCCTGATACAACCTGTACTAACATCTCTGCAAAATATTCATGCAAAAGTGGTTTATCCTCACAAAAGCTTGAATACTAAATTTAGAGATGCAATCAAATTATTTTTTCTAGGGTAAAAATTATAATTTATACTTGTGGCATTCTCTTTGGCATGGCCAATTTTGGTGAACAGTTTAAGTATACATATATAAGACAAATTCCTACTTACTGTTCTCGGGGAATCAAAAACTATTCATTAGTATGTACACAATGTCAACTGCACAGAGACAACAGGGCCTGGATAATCTTTTTAGGTGCAGAGGAGTCTAGATTGCACAAGGTGGTATGTGGATCCAGGATCCACTGTGGAAGGTAAGCTGCCTGCTTTCTGCAACATGGTGAATGGCTTTGGGAAAAGGGGGAAAGCAGAATGAGTGTTCCTTGTGTTAAGTTTTGCTAAACAGCAAAACTTAGTAATCACTATAATTAAGCTCCTACTGAAAAGAGTGGCATACACCTTTATTGGTCATAGGTAGAAACATGATGTCAGATACAAGACTCAGGAAATACTTAGCAAAGGATTATAGCAATTACCCAGAACAAGGAGTGACTTAGATGACAAACAGCTTTCAGGAAATATTTATGCAAAATAGAGGCATTGTTTGGTACTGTCAGAGTGTGTCCGTCTGCTGGTAATGTTAGAGGTTTTATTCTTTTGGCAATAATGAAAGAGTCCCTATGCTGAAAATTGATGTGGAGAAAACTGTATACCCAGTCTCCACGCACAAGCTGGTGCATTTGATCTTATCGATTTGGTTTATGTCCTGAAAACCAATTCTATTTTTTTAGCAACCTTTTCAATACAAACATAATCTTTTGTTTTGTTTTATTTTACGTAGAGTCTTGATCTGTTTCCCAGGCTGAAGGGAGTGGTATGATTATAGGTTATATGATATTGCAACTTTGAACTCCTAGGTTCAAGGAATTCTCCTGTTTTAGCCTCTGGAGTAGCTGGGACTACAGACATGTGAAATGAAACCCAGCTAATTGTTCCTTTTTTTTATTTTTTATTTTTTGTACAGATGGGGATCTCACTTTGTTGCCCAAGGTTGGACTCTAACTCCGGGCTCTGAGTGATCCTCCCACCTCAACCTTCCAAAGTGCTGGGATTATGGGCGTGAGCCACTGCACCTGACCCCAAATGTAATATTTAGTAGAGAGCTCTACAGAATTCTAATTACAATGAAGAGAATTCATGATTCTCATTGAATTGTCTGCCACTTTCATCACTACAGAGGGTGTTGAGAACTACCCACCAATCCATTAATCTGTAACCTAATTTAGATACTTAGGGATTATGAATGTGTATTTTGTTCTGTTCTTATTTACCATGTTGAAATAGCTCTTTTCATTAGCCAAGCACCACACCTAGGAATGTAGATCAAAATTCACTTCCCTAAGGAAGTTTAAGTGTATGGTTTTTTATTGTGAGACACAAAAGAAGTAAACTGTAATATTCATATCACTAGTATTTTGAATTATGTGTCTTCTTATCAGGAAAAGTATATACAAAGTTATCTTGAATATATATATATATATATATATAGGAATCTTTATTTCTTTGTCTTTGTTTCAGCTAAGTTAGACATAGTCTGTAACATAAACAAGGTCACATTATTTATTACTGACAAATTTTACACTTGCAATAAAGTTCATTCATTAATTTCTTTCTCCTAACAAAATTCTAAGCTTGTTAAAAGTAGGCAAAATTAGTTTACTCACCAATGCCTACCTAAAATAGTCTGGCACAGGCATTTATCTTGAGGGGAAATGGAAGAAAATAAGTTATATATTTTTATATATTAGAAATAATACTTTAATGTATTTACATTTTTCTTCATTATAGTAAATACAGTTTGCTGATCTAAAAAATCATAAAATATTTTAAAAACAACAACAGAAAGTATTGACTCCACTTTAATTCTGATAAGGCATCATGATGAATATTCTGCTCTTTATCCTTGTTTATGTAAATCACCCCTAGAAGCATTGGAATTCCAGGCCTCTGTTTATCTACTTCGAATTACTCCCCATAATTGTCTGCACTTTTAATATACCTCTGCGCAGAATTTACTTCCTCACCTCTCATGCTCCCTACATTTAAAAATTAGTATAATATACAATCTGAAACTTACCATCCATCTTCATGAAAATCCCTAAATCATTAACTTACAATCTGAACGATCCTACGTCTCCACCAAGGTCAATGCTACCTTCAAAATTTTTGATTACATAACGCATTTTCTCTCCTCCCTGTGCTTGTACAAATGAGCCCAGAAGCGTGGTATGGACTTTTTTTTTTTTGTTTTTCTTTAACCTTATTCCTGATTTCAAAAGCAATTTCATTCCTCCTTATTAATGCCCCCAATTTTGAATCTCATGTTATTAATTTATATACTGTAAAATATCTCTCTTGGTTGTAAAGTCTACTAATATGAACTTTATTTATCTTTAGTTTTCAGTCAATAACAAAGTGCCAGACAAAATGAATAAAAATACTTCCATCAAAGATCATCACAAAATTCTGATTAGGGAAGAAAAAGTTTCTAAAATAATTAAAAAAGAAAAAACGGTGGTGCTCTAAATGATCAAGTATCAAAATGGAATGAAATTTTTAACAGCAGGACTGGAAGCCGATTAAAATGGAAAACACATTGAAATTCTTTAGAAAAAAATATATATGTACTTATAACTCTATGTCTGGTCAAAGTATTAAGTGTAGATTAAATATGGAAACTCTCTAAGAACTGCTTTCCATTTAGTATGTCATGTGGCTACTGGCAGATGTTTTCAATTAATGTAATGTACTGATTTGTGAAAAATGAAGAAACTGAATGCAGAAAATGGGAAATTTATGATAAAAGGGCAATAAAGATAATTATCAGGAGCAAATACATCCATTAGATAGGCTGACAGATAACATAGGTGATCCCAGTTAGATTTCAGTTCCAGAGGAACTATTTTTAAGTGTAAATACGTCCCAAATAGTGGAGGATCCATATTCATAATAAAGTATTATTCATTTATTTAAATTTCAAATTTAACTGATTTTCTTTCTTTCTTTTTTAATTTATCTACTGAACTTAAGTAACCTTATCCAGGAAGGACATCACCAAGAAATGAAACTTCTAGATGGTGTGATGTTTAAGTATTTTTTATTTTTATTTTTATTTTTTAAATTTTACTTTAAGTCTTGGATACATGTGCAGAACATGCAGATTTGTTATATAGGTATACATGTGCCATGGTAGTTGGCTGCACCTATCAACCCATCATCTAGGTTTTAAGCCCCACACGCATCAGGTATTTGTCTTAATGCTCTCCCTCCCCTTGCCCCCAACCCCCAGATAGGCCCCAGTGTGTGATGTTCCCCTTCCTGTGTCCGTGTATTCTGACTGTTTGACTCCCATTTATGAGTGAGAACATGTGGTGTTTGGTTTTCTGTTCCTGAGTTGGTTTGCTGAGAATAATGGCTTTCCAGCTTCATCCATGTCCAATGAGTTCATGCAAAGGACATGAACTCATTCTTTTTTATGACTGCATAGTATTCCATGGTGTATATTTGCCACATTTTCTTTATCCAGTCTATCATTGATGGGCATATGGGATGGTTCCAAGTCTTTGCTGTTGTAAATAGCGCTGCAGTAACATACGCATGAATGTGTCTTTATAGTAGAATGATTTATAATCCAATGGGTACATAGCCTGTAATGAAATTGCTGGGTCAAATGGTATTTCTGGTTCTAGATTCCTGAGGAATTTCCACACTGTCTTCCACAATGGTTGAACTAATTTACACTCCCACCAGGAGAGTAAAATCATTCCTATGGCCGGGTGTGGTGGCTCACGCCTGTAAGCCCAGCACTTTGGGAGGCCGAAGTGGGTGGATCAACTGAGGTTGGGAGTTTGAGACCAGCCTGGCCAACATGGGGAAACGCCATCTCTACTAAAAATACAAAAATCAGCTGTACCTGGTGGCGCACGTCTGTAATCCCAACTACTCGGGAGACTGAGGCAGGAGAATTGCTTGAACCCGGGAGGCAGAAGTTGCAGTAAGCCAAGATCTTGCCACTGCACTCCAGCCTGGGTGACAGAGCAAGACTCCATCTCAAAAAAAAAAAAAAAAAAAAGGTTTCCTATTTCTCTCCACAGCCTCACCAGCATCTGTTGTTTCCTGACTTTTTAATAATCGCCATTCTAACTAGAATGCAATGGTATCTCATTGTGGTTTTGATTTGCATTTCTTTAATGACCAATGATGATGATTTGTTTTCAAATGTTTGTTGGCCACATAAATGTCTTCTTTTGAGAAGTGTCTGTTCATTTTTAAATGTGTTGAAATTATTTCAGAAATGTGAGGAAGAGAATAATCTGTTACCTAATAAATTTAGCAAATTTTTAAAAATCAATTATTAAATTTGGAAAAACATGTAACTAAATCAAAAAATGAAATGTAACTATAAAGGACTAATTATGTCAGTTGATGTGTAGTCATAAATGTAAAAATAAATCAGTTTGACGAAGTGATAGGGAAAAGAGGTGTATATTCCAGTGCATATAATGAATATGTTTGTTTTCCATACTAAAAAGTATTAAAAGGATAAACAATCATCTTCTATGGTATTGAATACATTGGTTTCTTTCACTTTTTGAGAATTATAAATGAAGCTGCCCCATACATTTGTGTGCAATGTGTAATGTACATAAGAGTTTGCTTAATTTGTTTTGGTAAATACTACAGAGCATGACTGATGGGTTTTATGGTAAGAATATATTTTGCTTTGTAAGAAACTGTCAAACTATCTTACAAAATGGCTGTGCTATTTTGCAATCCCCCTGATAATGAATGAGCATTTCTCTTGCTCTACATCCTTGCCAACATTTAATGTTGGATGTTTATGAAATATAAATAATGAAACTTCTAGATGGTGGGATGTTAAAGCATTTTTAAATGTACTGAAATTATTTTAGAAATTTAAGGAAGAAATTAAGATATTAGGAACCTTTAATTACTATAATAGTATCCTCATAATGTGGTAAATCATTTAGCGAGGTGGCAGCAAAGAGACTTTTTCACATATATAAACCATTTAATCTACCAAATTAAAAGAGTAAAATAAAATAATTCTAGAAATTAATGGTTATGAAATAAATACCAGGAGAATAAAAATGATGTTTATGCTAAATTTTTATTGTAAAGTTAACTACTGTTTGACTAGTGAAACCTATCTGTGACAATTTTTTTCTTGAATTGGATTTTTATTCTTTATTTTACTTTCACTTTGTTTTTTGTTCTCTGATTGTGGAATTTAACCTTGTATTATTTCTAATTCTGTTTGCAATTTGACTCAGAAAATAATAATATGTATGTGTGTGAGTGAGCGCACACAGACATACAGACATATTCATCCCCATTAGTGGTTTTGCTATTTATAGCACTAATAGATTATCTAATTTTTTTTTTGACAGATCCTCACTCTTGTCACACAGGTTGGAGTACACTGGTGCCATCTCACTGAAACCTTCACCTCCTGGGTTTAAGCAATTCTCCTGCCTCAGCCTCCCTGGTAGCTGGAATTACAAGAATATGCCACCATAGCTGGGATTACAAGCATGTGCCACCACATCTGGCTAACTTTTGTACTTTTTTTTTAGTAGAGACAGGGTGTATTAGGGTTCTCTACAGGGATAGAACTAATAGGATCTCTCTCTCTCTCTCTCTCTCTCTCTCTCTCTCTCTCTCTCTCTTGTGTTCACTCTCTCTCTATATATACATATACATATACATATATATGTGTATATATAGATATGTATATATAAAGGGGAGTTCATTAAGGAGTATGAAACTCACACGATCACAAAGTCCCACAATATTCCATCTGCAAGCTGAGGAGCAAGGAAGCCAGTCTGATTCCCAAAGCTGAAGAGCTTGAAGTCTGATGTTGGAGGGCAGAAAGGATCCAGCATGGGAGAAAGACGTAGGCTGGGATACTAAGCCAGTCTAATCTCTCCATGTTCTTCTGCCTGTTTTTGTGCTGGCAGCTGATTAGATGCTGCCCACCCAGATTAAGGGTGGGTCTGCCTTTCCCAGTCCACTGACTCAAATGTTAATCTCCTTTGGCAACACCCTCACAGACATACCCAGGATCAAAATTTTGCATCCTTCAATCCAATCAAGTTGACACTCAGTATTAACTATTACAAGTCCACCCCTTGTCAACTTGAACCCATACACATCTCCTGAGATCATACATAATCTTCAAATAAAGACAATAATAAGGTCATAATTATGCCTAACATAATGCAACTACCATTCATACAACTGGAAACACACCAACCCCCAAACCAAATTCTATTCCATAAAGTTAACACTGAAATGCTGATAGGAAGTCAATAAATCTTACGTCACATGATAAAGGAAAAGGGAAATAGAATGAAGCTGTTTTCTTAGTACAAGTGTATACATGCAAAACATGTTTTTAACAAAAGAAGGAGGAAATGCTCACAATAATTATAGTCCTCATTTTTGCAGCTGGTTACATGGTCGTAGCTGTTATTGATGACCACCTTCTACTACCCATTCTGTATTCTCTTTGCCTTCAGCAAGCACCTCAGCAGGTCATGGTTTTTTCCTGGTGGAGTGACCCAAAACTTCATTCCTGAAGGGTCTGGGCCATTTGTAGCCCTGCCTGGATTGAGCTGTTGTAGTTTCCCATTGATCTCAATCATAGGGCATGGTAATACTAAGAGATACCCTAATGGATCTCCTGTATTCCATGCATACTCTTCCTTGCCTCCATTGTGGAGTGGTAGACTGATTTCATCTTGATAGTCCGGGTCAATCACCCCAGCCGACACTGTAACTCCTTTCTTAGCCTGTTGACTTAAAGGTAGGAGCAGCCCAAAGTGGCCAGGTGGCAATCTTCACTTCTAGTTTAATAGAATCGTTGCTGTGTCTCCTGGTGGCAGCATTTCTCCCTCTGGAACTAAGACCTCTAGGCCAGCAGAACATAATGTCATGAGAAGAGAAAGCAAAAATTTTGCTAGTGGATCACTGGGGATGATGGTGAGTAGTGCCACTTCCACTTCCACCCCTTGATTCCTGGACCCGTGAATCCTGGCTGTGGGAGAAACAGTACCATATATTGGATGCTGATTCAGAGCATACACGGCCTTCTGGAGAACTTTGCCCCAGCCCTGCAAAGTATTGTTACCTAGTTGGCATAGTAATTGTGACTTCAAAAGGACACTCTACCGTTCTACCAATAGAGCTACTTTAGGATGAATGGGAACATGGCAAGACCAGTGAATTCCAGAAGCATGAGCCCACTACCACACTTCTTTAGCTGTAAATTGAGTGCTTTGGTCAGAAGCAATGCTGTATGGAATACCATGATGGTGGATAAGGCATTCCTTGAGTCCAGGGATGATAGTCTTGGCAGAAGGATTGTGTGCAGCACAGGCAAACCCATATCCAGAGTAAGTCTATTCCAATAGGACAAATCTCTCTCCTTTCCATGATAGAAGACATCCAGTTACAATCAACCTGCCACCAACTAGCTGGCTGTTCACCCCAAGGAATGGTGTCATACTGAGGGCTCAGTGTTGGTATCTGCTGCTGGCAAATTGGGCACTCAGCAGTGGCCATAACCAGGTCAGCCTTGGCTAGTGGAAGTCCATGTTGCTGAGCCCATGTGTAACCTCCATCCTTGCCACCAGGGCCACTTTGTTCATGGGCCCATTGAGAGATCATAGAGGTGGCTGGCAAAAGTGGCTAGTAGTGTCCACAGAATGGGTCATCCTGTCCACCTGATTATTAAAATTATCTTCTGCTGATGTCACTGTTTGGTGACCTCAGCACTCACATGGAATACAAATATCTTCACAGTTTTTGACCACTTGGAGAGGTCCATCCAAATACCTCTTCCCCAAATTTCTTTGACACCAAATTTCAAACATACTTCTTTCAAGTCCCTGACCATCCAGCCAAACCACTGGCTAAGGCCCATGCATCAGTGTATAATCACAGATCTGGCCATTTCTCCTTCCATGCAAACTCTACAACCAGTGCACTGCTTGAAGTTCTGCCCACTGGGAAGATTTTCCTTCCCCGCTGTCCTTCAGGGATTTTCTAGAAAGGGGCTGTAGTGCTGCAGCTGTCCACTTTCAGGTGGTGCCAGCATATTGTGCAGAACCATCTGTGAACAAGGCCCTAGTCTTCTTTTCCTCTGTCAACTGATCATAAGGAACTCCCCATGAGGCCATAGGTGCAGACTGGGGGAGAGAAGGCAGCATGGCAGGAGTGGAAACCATGGGCATTTGAACCACTTCCTCATGTAATTTACTTGTGCCTTCAGGATATCCTTGAGCCTGATCATGTATATACCACTTCAGTTTATTAAGATAATATAATTTTGTCATATATATGTTATGAGTAATCATGTAGCTTAAAAGTTTGTTGAGTAGCTCCCAAGATCTTGAGGAGGGCTAGAGAACTGGGCTTGGACACTTCCTAGCCAATAAAGGTGATCACAGTCAAGTACAGGACTGTTGAGTGAAGATTCGCTGCTCCTACCAACAGGCATAGACACGGTGGATTGCCTTCACACTGCTCTTGACCCACAATTCTTCTAGGGTTACTCTTGCCACTGTTATTCTATGAACTGGAGATGGATCCTACTGATTCCCCACCATAAATAACGGCCGTGGACGTTTATTTTTTTTGGTTCTAATTCAATGTCTGGGACAGGTGCATGAGATTGGTGGATTCTAGTTTCCAAGCACACACACTAACAGCAAGAGAGACTTGGGAAGCAAGAATCCAAAAATTTCAAACTCTGTTGTTAGAAGTAGGCATTTTGTTATAGTGGAAAAAATGCAAGTCACATTAATTTAATAAGAAGCAAAAAAATAATAGTAAGATGGTTTCAACATCATCAACTTTGGCTGTGCAATATTAGTATAATTATTTGTTCTTTTCTTTATACTTCTAAAATCATACATTTTTTCTAACATAATGCAATTATTTCTTGTACAATCAAATACATGTTAATCTTCCAATCGAAAGGGTTAAAGCAAATTACTATGAATTACCGAAACCAATGTAAGACCATAATCATCCAATCATGCCCATTAAAATCTTGCTTTTGTTAAAATGTTATCTTGATATTATCAACAACATACACCCTTTATTGAAGAAAAAAGAAAATGAAGTGTACAGAAGAGGGAAAGTATTTGCCTAATATAGCTATGCATATGACAGAGCAAGAAAGGAAATATGAGTTAATGCCCATAAGTCTTCATTTTTTAATTGTCAATAGATCGTAGTTGTTTTTTATTACTGCCTTGGTTTGCTAATCACACCACAAGTCCTGTACCACAGCCAACAACTCAGTTGTTAAGTTTTTGCCCTGTGAAGTAATGTATCTATCTATATATCTTCATGAATTTTTATCAGCTTTATTGATATATAATTAACAAATATATATTGTATATATTAAAGATGTACAAGTGATGTTTTGATATATGTATGTATTGTAAAATAATCACCATATTGAAACTCATATATCTATCTCTTCACATGATTACTTTTTGATGAGAACTCTTAAGATTTACTTGCTTAGCAAATTTTAGGCTCACAGTATACAATAATGTTAGTTAAAACCACATTGATATATATTAGATCTCCAGAACTCATTCATCTTGCATAACTGAAATTGTGTACCCTGTGACAAACATCTCCAATCTCTCCCTACCCCGAGCCACTGAAAACCACCATTTTACTCTATGCTGCTATGAGTTTGACTACTGTAGATTCCACATGTATGTGAGATCACACAGTATTTATCTTTCTGTGTGTCTGGCTTATTTCGTCTCACATAATTGCCTCCAGATTTATCTATGTCGTCACAAAAGGCAGGATTTCCTTCTTTGTTAAGGCTAAATATTATTTTGTTACATATCTTGTATAGCACGATTTTTTTAATCCATTTGTCAACAGACATTTAGGTTGTTTCCATATCTTGGCTATTGTCAATTGTGGGGCAATTAGCATGGGGATATAAATATCTCTCTGAGGCACTGATTTTAATTCCTTTGTCTGAATAACCAGAAATAGGTTTGCTGAATCATATGGTATTTCTATTTTTAATTTCTTGAGAAACCTCTCTACTATTTCCATAATGGATGTACTAACTTACTTTCCCACCAACAGTACACAAGCATTTTTTTTTTATCCACATCCTTGTCAACACTTATCTTTTGTCTTTTTGATAATAGACATTCCAACAGGTGTCAGCTGATAATCTCATTGTAGTTTCTTCACTCTTAAGGAATCTGAATTTTTATTGCCTCTGACTGTGTAAGGTGGTTGTGTTTTTTAAAGCTGTACCATTTCACTTACCATCAGAAATATAAACCTAGCACCTTAATGTATACTCTCTAAGAAGCAGACCCAGCCTCTAGAATTCAAGTAAAAGTAGTTGATTTGGAAAATGAAATGATTAAGGAAGTAGGGAATTGATAATAGAATAAACACCTATTAATGACTGTAGTATTAAGACAGCTACCCTAAAGTGCTATTAAGGCTTAATCCACTGGGGAAACACTGAAAGGATGCAAACGCACACTTCTATCAGCCCCATTCATGGGGTCAAGTATCTGTGGTTTTTATACCCTAACTCCTAAGCATCATTGGTGAGGGCTGCTACTGGGTGCTATATTTCCCTGCATATCCTGCCTGCTGCCAAAACTATGTAGGAAACTGATCTTTCCAAAATCCAAGGGAAAGGAGTTTTCAGCTTCAGGGATGTAGATACTGTTGAAAATCACCCAGAGAATATGAAAGGTCTAGGGAAAATGGGCCAGACATTGCCAGGGTGAGCTACATTTTGGGGTTCTCTTGGGCTTAAATTATTTTTCTTCTCCTTGTATTTACTAGTAACAAACACTACAGATTACATCACTGATGACTTCACAAACAGGACATTCATACTGTCACTCAAACTGCTACAACTGCAGCTACAGGAACTGGCTGCAGCTGCCACTGTCGCCTTGTCATCCTTGACTTCTCACATGATTAAATTTTAATTCAAGTCTATGGTAGGTGTGTTTGATTGGTGAAGCCTATATCAAGGATTTTACTGTGTATTAAAGGGCCTAAAAGATAAATATCAGTAGTTTTCACAGTTTAAAATAATATGAAGCAGTCTCTGCTTTACAGTTCAGTGATTCTCCAAAAGTAGGAAGGAAATTCAACTGCAGAGAAACTTAAGTGAATGAAAATTCACGTACAATCATCTTATATAAATTGTTTTTATTTCTTTCTCTCAGGATAACTTTCACAGAGGTAATGGAATTTTTATTACAAGAGAGAAATCTAAGCAATGTACCACAGTCTGAAGGTTAATTAGGTAGTGAGGAATAAACAACGGGCATTCCAAATATTGACTTTCTGTTTCTAAAACTATTACTTGTTCAGGTGGTTAAGTAGATTATGTTATTGGCAACCATCTGCACTTCTCCCTGGATTACACCTTTTGCCATAACCTTAAGGGCCCTTCAAACGTGAACAGTGTGCAGTTTTCTGTTTCTCCACATTAGCCTCAGCCATGCAATATCCTTTGGCCAACAGGATGAAGCAAAAGTGATGATGGGCCAGTTCTAAACATATACTTCAAGGGTCCCTACGTGTTTTCACCTGTGCATAAGTTCCTCTGAAATTGCCGTGAGAGTGAGAACATTCCTAGTAAGTTCATGGGAATGAGGTGTGGATTAGGGACCCTTGAAGCAGAGCCACCCACAGCTGAGCTCAAGCTAGATAAATGAACCATAGCTAGACACAAACAAATATGAGCCCAATTCATACCAGTAGAGATGCACATTATCACAAAATTTAGGTCAACTGACCTCAGTCTGGCTCAAGAGCTAAAACATTATTGTATGTTCCTTATATTTCTATGGGTGATTTTCCACACAGAATTTTGTTTCTATAGCTAATACCTCATGCTACCAAGAAAGGGAATATGAAATCTACAATTCTTCTGATGAATGCCATTGTACATGTTCCCTTCCTCTTTACTCTGCTGTGTGATCTTTTTATTAAGCCAAACTTGTAAATACCTCAGATGGTTAAAGGAGTGTTATTTCCAAGCATCTTGAATATGTGAACAGTGACAAGTCAATAAACAAACAGGTATGTCAATATATTGGCAACTTAAAGGATATACATAGTTTCTTCTTTAGTATGCAATATAGTTTGACTGTGTCCCCACCCAAATCTCATCTTGAATTGTAGCTTCTATAATCCCCACATGTTGTGGGAGGGACCTGGGAAGAGGTAATAAATCATGGGGGCGGGTTTGTCCTGTGCTGTTGTCACAATAGCAAATAAGTCTCACGAGATTTGATGGTTTTATAAAAGGGAGTTCCCCTGCACTGGCTCTCTTGCCTGCCACCATGTAAGATGTGACTTTTTTCCTCATTCACCTTCTGCCATGATTGTGAGGCCTCCCCAGCCATGTGGAACTGTAAGTCAAATAAACCTCTTTCCTTTATAAACTACCTAGCCTCAGGTATCTTTTTATTAGCAGCATGAGAACAGACTAGTTCAGTATGTGAAAAAATAAAAATGGAGAAGCATTTTAAAGAAATATGTGTTTTATAAATAAAGAAAACCATCATTTACCTCATAAACCAGATGATTTTTTTGTCTGCTGATTTTACAAAACTTATCTTCAATAAAAAGAAATGAATTTTACTAGTGTAGCAAAATTAAATTATTTTCTCTGCTGTAGTCCACAGTTTTGTCTTTTGAGACAAAAATGATTTTTTAAAAAAATATATTTGTTTATGTTTCTTGAGTTCCAGAATAAAGTCAGGCAAAACAATCAATAGTATTTAAATCATTATAATATTGCTCTTTAATATAATACACCTTAAAAAGTTGATTTAACACCAGGCTGAGTACAGAGTAGTTACACATAAATGTAACAAGTTAGAAAAAAAAAAAAAGAGAAAGAAATATGAAATCAGAAAGAAGGTCAAATTGACCAAAGAGGGAAAATGTTGGGGCCCAAAGTACTCAAAGGAGAAAAATGGAAGGTTGATTGAGATGAGGAAAAAAGAGATTGCTGTAGAGCAATCTATCACTGAAGAGGTAGACTGAGAAAGAAAAGGAAAAGGTTCTTAGGCAATTGCACAGCATTTGAGTGAGAAATCTATCACTTCCATCTCTCTTTATTTTTATCTTGATCAGTAGGATTTTGAAGTTTATTGTGAGGTGCACAAGTTTTCCTCTTAATAACATCAATGTTCTTATAAGTTCCTAAACAATATTTATATCTGTGCCATTCTTATATATCCATCCTGCTTTAAACGTATATTGTTTAACACATTGTTCAAACATATTCTTCATACTCTAATTTTACTGTAAATTTCCTATTAAAAATCTCTGATATTAGTTTGTTGTGTTTTGTGCTTTTTGTTACCCTTTGTAAAGGAGTAGTAGGACATATTTTTGTAAACTTACCAGTCTTTTTATGTGAGGTGGTGACCCCAAAATATACCACCTCTGAAATATTTAACACCCATTATCCACTATATGACCTCACTGTCTCTCACGGCATTGAAAGCTGACTTTAATGTTCTATAATCTAGAATTGAAATATGATTTGTTTCTTGCATTTAGTCCTTCTTCGTGCTTCTACTCAGTTCTTTTTCTTTCCCTGAAGTAGACTTATAAAGTTTCATTTGTTTACTAACGTGCCCCAAACTACAATCATCTTGTTTGTTCTCAGCTGATTGTCTCATTTTCTATTTTAAAAGTGGGAAACCAAAGTGAACTTGTTTTTCACCTACAAAAATCTTCACCTTCTCACCCATCCTCCCCTCATGTCCATATGGAAGAGGCTGGCGGCTGCTCTCGCACTCAACATCACATTTCCTGTGTTCTCTATCACCTGCGTGCCTCCCACACCTGTGGGATGTTGTATCATTGAATATGTACTCGTGATGATTCTTTAGCCACTACTTTTCGCTGGCTCTTTGACCTCAGTATTTAAGATTTATGCTCCTCCCATCCTAAGATATGAAACGAAACTCAAGATATGAAACAAAACACAGGCATTTTCTCCACTGTTTCTGTTCTATATTTTTAATCTTTTCGCAGCCAGATGTCTTGAAAAGAGAGTTTGAAGCACACTATCTTTACTTCCATTGATACGGGAGAGGGGTAGGGAAGTGTTGGGTAGAGAAGGGCGGGTGCCTGGCTAGGGCTCCACTCCAGTACCTGTGCCCATGGACCTAGGTGAAAACAGACAGTTGTTTTCTTGCACAAATGTTACATTTCCTAAGACCACCCTGGCCCGCCACGCCCCCATCCTGTGCCTATAAAAACCCCAACACCCTAGTGGGTACACACAAGTGGCTGAACATCAAGAGGAACACGCTGGCGTAAGGGCACATCAATAGGGACCAGCAGGCTGGCAGGCCATGGACCAGTGGGAAGATGTAGAGTTCGGCCGGGGCAGTCAGAGGAGAGCCCAGCCGCTGAGCAGCCCAAATACAGAAGAAAACCACCTTTCCACTCTATCTCCCTTCAGGCTCCCGCATCTGCTGAGCGCTACTTCTACTCAGTAAAACCCTGCACTCATTCTCCAAGCCCACGGGTGATCCTATTCTTCTGGTACATCAAGGCAAGAAACCCCAGGATACAGAAAGCCCTCTGTCCTTGTGATAAGGCAGGGATCTAACTGAGCTAACACAAGCCGCCTCCAGACAGCTAACCTAAAAGAGCACCCTGTAACACATGCCCACTGGGGGTTCAGGAGCTGTAAACATTCACCTCTAGACGCTGCTATGGGATCAGAGCCTCACAGCCGGCCCGTCTGCATGCTTCCCTTAGAGGCTTGAACAACGGGGCACCGAAGAAGTGAGGTACACCCCCATGAGCTACACCCCCATCTCACGCCCTGCGAGGGGGATAAGGGAACTTTTCCCGTTTCACCACAGCACTGGTACCTCAGCTCCTTGTGGTTAGCTCCAGCCTCCACTAAGCCCTAGATACTGAACTATCACTCCATCTTGAGGTTCAAACTTTTATCGAAATTCTGTTTGTGATAGACAACTGGCAGTCTCACAGGATGCTCAACTTCAAAATATACAAAATTAGCTTGTATTAATCAATCATCTTGTTGGTTCTTCTATATTTACTAGTTTAGTAATGACATTTCAGTTCTATACATTACACAGGTTACAATCTTCTTTTAATTAATTTATTTTTTTATTTTCTTTGAGACGGAGTCTCGCTCTGTCTCCCAGGCTGGAATGCAGTGGCGCCATCTCGGCTCACTGCAAGTTCCGCCTCCCGGGTTCCCGCCATTCTCCCACCTCAGCCTCCCGAGTAGCTGGGACTACAGGCGCCCGCCACCACGCTCGGCTCATTTTTTGTATTTTTTTTTTGGTAGTGACGGGGTTTCACCTTGTTAGCCAGGATGGTCTCGATATCCTGACCTCGTGATCCACCCGTCTCGGGCTCCCAAAGTGCTGGGATTACAGGCGTGAGCCACTGCACCCGGCCTACACAGGTTACAATCTTAAGACTCATTACAGAGTCCTTTCTGCAATGTAATTTCTTCTGTTGAAATACTTTATCATTCTTACACTTTTTTCATTCCTCAGCACTGTTTCCACAACTCCACTAAAGGCCTTAAAAACTATGTTCTTAAGTAGATAGATCCTTTCCTTGTTTTGTGTTTCACTCCCCTCACTCCCAGCCACAAATCATTCCTCTCATGCAATTTGAGTTCCTAAATTACAAATCTGATCAGGGAATTTCCCATGAATCAATTCTTCGATGACAACAAAGTTCAAATATAAGCGAGTACTTCTTCAGCATGTCACTCAAGCTGCATAGGAGGATACAGCTCATACACAGTGTCATGGTCTCCACCCATTCTACTTGCCCATTCATTTTTCTCTCCCTCCTCGATTGTTTCATTCCTCCCTCTTGGAATCCTTAACATAAATAGCATTGCTCAGAGAGAATTTTTGGACCACTTTCTTTTATTTTATGCTCCCTTAACATGCTGAACTTCTTTAACACAGTCAAACTACAATATTAATTTTTATATTAATATTAATTTTATATGTATTTTTCATTAATTTTCCCTGAAATACTTACACTCAGTAGTTGAGGCCAATTTCTTCTTTATTCATTATTTATACTCCAGCACCTAACAAATTATCTTAACTTGTTGAGTAAAGGAGGTTAACTCTATCTAAGGAGCACTGACAAAGCCTTCCATAGATTTAGAAAGGCAAGGATATAACATAATTTTTGCTACAGAAATTTTTCTCACTCCAATGCACAGTAATAGTAAAATACTGAGGCTGGTGGATGTTTTGTGAGACAAAGAGGTTATCTAAATAATATGGTGGCTCAGATCAGAGAAGTGGCAGGGAAATAGAAAAGATTAGACAGATCCCATAAAATGTAAGTGGTAAGAGATTAGTAAGACATGACAAGAGCTGATACATGGAATGGGGAAGAGGGAGACGGACAGCTTGAAAAAATCGAGTTTACCACTTGATACAATCAGTTGGACGGCGATGTTAGAGAACAGAGGAGAAAAGCTAGTTTGGGTAATGCAGATATTTTCTCTTGCATATGGCAATTCTACTGAGTAGAATTCATGTTAAAGCAAGAGTTCTAATGTTGTTTTATTCTTTAATTAAATATCCAACGTAGTATTAGGATTATGTACAATAAAAAAGATATGTATCACTAATTAAGGCAGATTTTCAAAGCAACTTTTATTCTATTTTAGATTTATTAAACACTAATAGTCTCTCAAAGAAAGCTTCATTAAATGTGCCTGAGATGATTCTAAGAAAAGTTCTAATTCAAAGGGTAACTCACCATGATCTTGAATTTTACTTTTCCTACACAAATATGATTTACAATAATGAAAACATGATTTTTGCCACTATTAACATTTTTATAAAGATGTTTTATAGTGCCCCAAAATGTTTCTAAATATTCTGTATTCATGTCTTTTTACCATTTCTTTTTGCCTATTTAGAAGCGTAAACTTGGTTCAAATAGCGAGTCTGTGCTGCCACCTGCTGGAAAATGTGAGAAAATTGTCTGTTTTAATGGAATAGCAGTGATGTATGCTGCATTAAATAAGAAAACTCAGGTAATGTTCATGATATTTTTTTCCTAATAAAAGATTATCAAAATGGGGCCGGGCGCGGTGGCTCACGCCTGTAATCCCAGAACTTTGGGAGGCCGAGGGGGGCGGATCACCTGAGGTCGGGAGTTCGAGACCAGCCTGTCCAAGAAGGAGAAGCCCAGTCTCTACTAAAAATACAAAATTAGCCGGGCGTAATGGCGCATGCCTGTAATCCCAGCTACTCGGGAGGCTGAGGGAGGAGAACTGCTTGAACATGGAGGTTGCAGTGAGCTGAGATCACGCCATTGCACTCCAGTCTGGGCAACAAGAGCGAAACTCCATCTCAAAAAAAAGAAGTAAAACATCTCTGATCTGTAAACGTTGCTCATTACAGAAGGGATCCTTACAACCTCACATCTTTTAAAGGCCCTCATGGGCTGGGCATGGTGACTCATGCCTGTAATCCCAGCACTTGCTACTGGGGGAGGCTGAGGCAGGAGAATCGCTGAGGCAGGAGAATGGCATGAACCCGTGAGGCGGAGCTTGCAGTGAGCCGAGATCGGGTCACTGCAAGCTCCGCTCACGGGTTCATGCCATTCTCCTGCCTCAGGCTCCGAAGTAGCTGGGACCACAGGTGCCTGTCACGATGCCTGGCTAATTTTTCTGTATTTTTAGTAGAGGTGGGGTCTCACCATGTTAGCCAGGATGGTCTCGATCTCCTGACCTCGTGATCCACCTGCCTCGGCCTCCCAAAGTGCTGGGATTACAGGCCTGAGCCACCACGCCCGGGCAATTTTTGTATTTTTAGTAGAGACAGAGTTTCACCCTGTTGGCCAGGATGGTCTCAATCTCCTGACCTTGTGATTTGCCTGCCTCAGCCTCCCAAAGTGCTGGGATTACTGGCGTGAGCCACTGCGCCAGGCCGTTTATTTCCCAATTTTTTTTAATTTACCATTCACCTAGATTATTTTTAGTAGAAAAAAAGTTTGAGTACAACCGAATTAGTATTTTATTAGTAGTGCTTTAGCAATATAAAAAAGCAGATAAAAAATTTAAAGAATGAAAGAAATATTTTCTAAATAACTAGAATATAACCTTACTTTTACTCATGACTCCCTCACCAGGTAGGCTTGTGGACCTTGGGGTAGCCCCCGCTAATTGAGAGGTGACAACGTGCTAGCAGCCCTTGCTTGCTCTGGGCGCCTCCTCGTCCTCTGCGTCCGCTCTGGCCACGCTCAAGGAGCCCTTCAGCCCGCAGCTGCGCTGTGGGGGACCATCTCTGGGGCTGGCTGTGGGGGCCCCTCCCTGGGGCTGGCCGAGGCCAGAGCTGGCTCCCTCTGCTGGCAGGGAGGTGTGGAGGGAGAGGCACAGGCCGGAGTCTGGGCTGCATGCTGCGCTCGCCGGCCGGTGCGGGTTCAGGGTGGGCGCTGGCTCGGTGGGCCCCGCACTCTGTGTGGCCAGCCGGCACCTGCTGGGCTTGATCAGAGGCTGGGTCCCATGCGTGGACGCCATTCCCTCTTCGCGGGTTCATTGGCCACAATGTTGGGTCTCCATCTCTTTCTGGCTTCCCCTCTTTTCCGCTTGGTTGTCTGAGATGAGCTCCATCTGGGCTGCCGAAGTGCGCGGGCTAGGTGCCACAAAGTCCTGCAGCCAGTGCCAGTGAGAGGTGAAGCCAGCTGGGCTTCTGGGACGGGGAACTTTTGTGTCTAGCTAAAGGATTGTAAATGCACCAGTCAGCACTCTGTGCCTAGCTAAAGGATTGTAAACACACCAATCAGCACTCTATGTCTAGCTAATCTGATGGGGACGTGGAGAACTTTTGTGTCTAGCTAAAGGACTGTAAACGCACCAATCAGCACTCTGTGTCTAGCTAAAGGTTTCTAAATGCACTAATCAGCACTCTGTCAAAATGGATCAATCAGCTCTGTAAAACGGACCAATCAGCTCTCTGTAAAATGGACCAATCAGCAGGATGTGGGTGGGGCCAGATAAGGGAATAAAAGCAGGCCGCCCCAGCAAGCAATGGCAATGCAGTGGGGTCACGTCCAGGCAGTGGAAGGTTTGTTCTTTCACTCTTCGCAATAAATCTTAATGCTGCTCACTCTTTCCATCGGCGCCGCCTTTATGACTTGTAACGCCGCAAAGGTCTGCAGCTTCACTCCTGAAGTCAGCCAGACCGTGAACCCACCAGAAGCAAGAAGGAACAAACTCCGGACTCACCATCTTTGAGAACTGTAGCACTCATCACAAGGGTCCATGGCTTCATTCTTGAAGTCAGTGAGACCAAGAGCCCACCAATTCCAGACACATAATCACCAGGTCTGATGCTTTCTGTTTTAAAAGTTAATTGTTTATTCAATTTATTTAATAGATAAAGGCCTATGCAGATTGTTTATTTCTTCTAGTTTTATTTCTAATTGTGTTTTCAAAAAATTGGTCCATTTTATCTAGGTTATCAAAGTTATAGACATAGTTTCATTCACAATATTCCCTATCATTTTAATATCCATGAAATCAGTAGTAATATTTCTGTTACTTGTAATTTGTGTCTCCTTTCTTTTTTGTTGGTTAGTTGGTTGGAGGCTTATCAGTTTTATTGATGTTGTCTAATAGCATACTTTTCACTGATTTTCTGTTTCGAATTTTATTAATTCTCGAATTTTTACTATTCTACTTATTTGGGATTTACAATTTTTTTAGTGTCATAATTTGTGATACTAGAATACTGATTTTAAATATTTCTTCTTTTGTAACGTATACATTTTCTGCTACAACTTACCCTCTAGGAATTATTTTGCTGCATCATACAAATTGCAGTAAGTTTATTTTCTTTTTATGGAGTTCAAAATATTTATAAATTTTTTTCAGACTTATCCTGAGACCTAGATGTTATTTAGAAATGTGTTATTTAATTTCCATATATTTGGAATTTTCCAAGTATCTTTTAATTATTGATCTCACCTTTAATTCTATTTTGGTCTAAAAATATACTTTGACATTACTTTTTAAAAATAATTTGTTGAGGTGTGGTTTTTTTTTTTTTTTTTTTTTTTTTTTTTGAGACGGAGTCTTGCTCTGTTGCCCAGGCTGGAGTGCAGTGGCGCGATCTCGGCTCACTGCAAGCTCCGCCTCCCGGGTTCACGCCATTCTCCTGCCTCAGCGTCCCGAGTAGCTGGGACTACAGGCGCCCGCCACCACGCCCGGCTAATTTTTTGTATTTTTTAGTAGAGGCGGGGTTTCACTGTGTTAGCCAGGATGGTCTCGATCTCCTGACCTCATGATCCGCCCGCCTCTGCCTCCCAAAGTGCTGGGATTACAGGCGTGAGCCACCGCGCCCAGCCGAGGTGTGTTTTATTGCCCAGAATGTGGTCTATTTTACTGAATGTTTCATGACATCTTGAGAAAAATGTGTATTCTCCTGTTGGTGGATGAAGTATTCTATAAATATCAAGTGTATGCAGTAGATTGATGATGATGTTCAATTCAATGGTATCAATTTTGTTCAACTATACTGATTTTCTGCCTCCTTGATCTGTCAGTTACTCATAGGGGGGTCTCAACATTTCCAAATATAACAATAAATTTATCTATATCACCTTGCATTTCTATGAGTTCTTGCCTTACATATATTGCCATTATTATTAAAGACATTCACATTAGGGATTGTTACACCTTCTTGGAGAAATGACTGCTTTTTCATCATGTAATGCCTCTCTCTATCCCTGATATTTTATTTTCCCCTGAAGTCTGATTTGTCTAAAATTAATATAACTACGAGTTATGAGCTGAATTGTGTTCGTCTAAAATTCTTATGTTGAAGTCCTAACCCCTAGTACCTCAGAGTATGACTGCATTTAGGGATAGCATCTCTAAAATGAAAATTAAGTTAACATGAGTTTTGGTAGTATGGGCCCTAATTCATTACAATTTGTGTCCTTTAAAGGAAGATCCAGACACACGCAGAGGTAAGACCATTTAAAGATGGAAAGAAGATTACTGTCTACAAGACAAGGAAAGAGGCCGTAGAAGAAACCAACCAGGCCAAAACTTTCATCTCAGACTTCTAGCCTTCAGAACTGTGAGAATATAAATTTATGTTGTTTAAGTCAGTGTGTGGTATTTTGTTATAACAGCCCTAGCAAATGAATATAGTACCTCTGTTATCTTTAGATTATTACTGCTACTATGCCGTATCTTTTCCATCCCTTCACTTTTAATGTCTCTCTCTTAAAGATTTCTTGATGACAACATATAGGTGGGTCTCAACTTTGTATCCACTCTATCTTTTAATTGGTATACTTAGACCATTGAAGTTTAAAGTGATTATTGACATATTTGGATTCATGTCTATCATTCTGTAACTGCTTTCTATCCGTTGTTCTTGTTATTTTTGTGTATACATTTATGGGTCACATATGATGTTTTGATGCTGGGATACAATGTGTAATCACCAAATCAGGATAATTGGGATATCCATCACCTCAAGCATTTATCATTTCTTTGTATTAAGAAAATCTGAATTCCAGTCTTTTATTTATTTTATTTTAAAATACATAATAAACTATTGTTGAGTGTAGTCACCCTGTTATGCTGTCAAATACTAGGTCTTATTCAAACTATCAAACCATACTTTTGCACCCATTGACCATCCTCGCTGTATCCTCCCCTCCCCGCTACCCTTCTCAGCCTCTAGTAACCATCATTCGGCATCCACTATTTTTTTCTGCCTTCTGTGGTGTTAATTGATCACTTTTTTTAATAATCTCATTTTCTCTCCTCTCTTAGCATTTTAATTATGCTTTTATCTTTCATTAGTATTAGCCCTAAAGGTTACAATATAATTTACAACTATTGTAGGTATGAAGTCTTCTTTCAGGATTTCTTTTTTTTTTTTTTTTTTTCGAGACACTTTCTCACTCTGTTGCCCAGGCTGGAGTGCAGTGGTACAATTTCAGCTCACTGCAGCCTTGACCTTACAGGCTCAAGTGATCCTCCCACTTCAGCCTCCCAAGACTGGACTACAGGTACACGCCCCTGCATGAGGCTATTTTTTTTTCAATGGTGATGAGGTCTCACTATGTTGCCCAGGCTGGTGTCAAACTCCTGAGTTCAGGTGATCCTCCTCAGCCTCCTAAAGTGCTGACATTACAGGCATAAGCCATTGTGCCTGGCATCTTCTTTCAAATAATGATATACCACTTCATGTGCACTACACGTATCTTGTAAGAAAATACTCTGAATTTGTCCCATCTGCCCCTCATAACATCATCATGTATTTCATTTTCATACTTGCTATAATTAACAAATACAAATTTTGTTGTTATTACTTTAACAAACTTCTATCTCCTAGATCTACTAGGAATTAGAAAAATACAATATTTTATTTATCTGTGTTTATTACTTTAATGCTTTTCCTTTCCTCATGTAGATACAAGTTTCTGAACTATATCATTTTTCTTCCTAAATAACTTTTTAAAACACTTTTTGCAAGACAAGTTTACAGGCAACACATTTCTGCAATTTTTATTTTTCAGAAAAAAGTATTCTTCCATTTTAAAGGATCATTTTGTAGAATACAGAATTTCAGGTAGATCTCCATTTCTGTTTTTCTTTCTTTTAGTTTTATAATTATCTGACTCTACTCTTTTCTTGCTTTAAGAATGAGTGACTAGTGGTAGCTTATGTCATTCATTAAAAGGTTGAGTTGCTAGCAAATTAGAAGAATGAATGTTTTCTATATGAGGTTTAGTTTTAATGAATATAGAAGATGTGCTTTTTATCAAATAATAACGTTTAAGAATTTATTTTTTAAATAAAAAATTTAATGCTGAATTATTCATGCTAGTCAAATCTAGTTTAAAATGAATAGAACAAAACATTAAAATCTTTAAAATAAATGAAAATACTTTTTATTTAAATAAAAGTACAGGCTCTCAAGAGAGATATTTAGATTTGACTTTTTCAGGTGATCTACTTTTAAATACTTACAATTATTTTCACTTATCTTTCTATTCAATTTATGAAATAAAGGCCTTCCTTTTCAGTAGGTAATCTGCATTCTATTAAAGACTGAAAGCAATACCCTTGACTCATTCTTCACTGAAGCAAACTGTTTCTTGAGACTCAATGCTTATCATATGGTAAAAATGCAGATTTCCAAAAATTAATTTCAGGCTTGAAAGACAAGAGGCATACATACATCTGATATAATTACTGTATAAAAATAATGCAACTTTGATTTCTGAAGTACTAAATGGTCATGTTCTGGAACTCCTTTGAGGTATTGTAAGTTAGATGCTAATTTGCATTGGAGCCTACATGGAAATAATCAGTATAAAATAACAGATCCAGTATGTGAGTTTGATGGAATTAGAATGCTCATCAGAAATGCTTCAATTAACAAATGGCAAGAGTCCACATTAAGTTTAAACTCAGGCCCTGTGAACAATAAAGGGTTTTAAAATGTTTTATAAGAAAATATATTTTTACTCAATAGTCTTTAAATCTGATGTTGTAAAATCATACATAAAAGAAAATGATTTGGTGGCATGTCATGCCCTACATGCCTTACCTTCCAGATCCATGATCCCACAAATAATTGAAGCTCCCCCAAGTTTTTTAACATACATACTGTCAGAAAGACCAGGGCTTTGATCTTCATGCCCTCAGATTGTAAAATTTTATTTCATTCTGTCAGAGTCATAAATTTCCATCTGCTAATTGCCCTTATCCAGTGAAGAAATTCATTGTATTATACCAGTTGTCCAGTTGTGTTTTTGAAACCAGCCTAATTGTCACACAGACTGTTTTTTTGTTTTTGTTTTTTTCTTTTTTTGAGATGGAGTCTCGCTCTGTCACCCAGGCTGCAGTGCAGTGGCACTATCTCAGCTCATTGCAACCTCCACCTCCTGGGTTCAAGTGATTCTCCTGCCTCAGCCTCCTGAGTAGCTGGGATTACAGGCATGCAACACCAAGCCCAGCTAATTTTTGTATTGTTAATAGAGACGGGGTTTCAACATGTTGGTCAGGCTGGTCTCAAACTCCTGACCTCGTGATCCACCTGCCTCAGCCTCCCAAAGTGCTGGGATTACAGGTGTGAGCCCCCACTCCCAGCCTTTTTGTTTGTTTGTGGTAAACATAGGAATTGACCCTTCTGGTCTTAAAGCATGAAACTTGTATTTGTTTTATCTGAGTTCTTTCATCAGGAAATCACCTCAGGCCTCTCAAAAAAAAAAAAGTAGCAAAGAACTGAAACTCACCAGATAACCATTTCCAGATAATAAGATGCCAGGATCCCTTATTCATCCTGATTGCTTCCTTGTTCCTCCCTAGTTACTGTTTTCTTACACATTGTTACATTTCTTTTCTATTATATAAACCCCTACTTTTAGTTGGTCAGGGAGATGGATTTGAGACTGAGCTCCCATCTCCTTAGAAGCAGCACCCAATTAAGGCCTTCGTCCTTGGCAATACTCTTCATCTCAGTAATTGGCTTTATGCACAGTGATCAGCAGGACCTAGACTGCCCCTGGTGTTTTGGTAACATTTTCATTACTCAAGATCTTTTAGTATAAAAAGATGATCTGTTCTCCATAGTTCTGTGCAACTTTCTCCTCTCTAACACATTTGTCTTCCACCGCACCCCAGTCATCCCAATCTAATGGCCACAACTAGATTTTAAATTAACAATAATTGAACCAACTCTTGGGTCTTACTTTTAATCATGGCTTCGTCTGGCAACCACCATCTATCTTGATAGCTCAGTCACTCAAATACCCTAATTCTAAAATTATATAGGCCCTCCTGTGATGCATAAGCTAAACATGCATATATTTTCACATTTTATCAACCCTCTCATTCTAGTGTTGATGCATACAGGTCTTAGAACCAATGACCCACACATATAAGGGTCATTGCATAATGACCCTCAGTGCATAAACACTGAGGTTTGCTTTCTCTCCATCTATTAAAACTCCTGAGATTGAGGGAGTGCGGATCACAGTACCCTTAAGTTAAACATTCTGTCTGCACTGGAGTAGTGAATATAGCTGGGCAACTCTCCCTGCCACCCCCATCCAACACATACACTCATCTTTAATTCATCAGTATAAGTCTCTAGGTGGTTCTCCTGTACTTCCCACATCAGTTATTTTTTCCACTTTTCTATGCTACTGTTTCTTCCATTTTTTTTTCTCCTTTTATCAGCTGATGATTTTGTTACATTACTGAGAAAATGTATGCAATCAGAAGAGGTCTTCCACCTCTGCACAGTCCCAAATTTACCAAACTATTTTTTCCTTCTATTATAATAACTGAATTCCAAATGTTTCTATCCTATTAAAAGTCGGCCGGGCACGGTGGCTCACGCCTGTAATCCCAGCACTTTGGGAGGCCGAGGCGGGCGGATCACAAAGTCAGGAAATTGAGACCATTCTGGCAACACGGTGAAACCCCGTCTCTACTAAAAATACAAAAAATTAGCTGGGCGCAGTGGCGGGCACCTGCAGTCCCAGCTACTCGGGAGGCTGAGACAGGAGAATGGCGTGAACACGGGAGGTGGAGTTTGCAGTGAGCCGAGATCGCGCCACTGCACTCCAGCCTGGGCGATAGAGTGAGACTCCGTCTCAAAAAAAGAAAAAAAGTCAAACCATCAGTATCCCACTCATATACCTATACTAAAATTTTTTCTTGCAAGTTCCTTTCTTCTTCCTGCATCATAATTCCTATCAATATAAGGATACACTATCCCTTGGCATGGTGGCTCAGTAATCCAAGCACTTTGGGAGGCTGAGATGAGTGGATTGCTTGAGTCCAGGAGTTCAAGTCCAGCCTAGGCAAGTCCAGGAGTTCCAGTCCAGCCTAAGCAACGTGGCAAAACCCTGCCTCTACTAAAAATACAAAATAATTAGCCAGGCATGGTGGCACATTCCTGTACTCTCAGCTACTTGGGATGCTGAGGTGGGAGGATCACTTGAGCCTGGGAGCAGAGGTTGCAGTGAGTGGATATCACACCACTACACTGTATCCTGGGCAACAGAGCAAGACTCTGTCTCAAAAAAATAAAAAATGAAAATGAAACCCCCAAACATAAGGATATATTGTAACATATTTTATCACAAAAAGCTCCTTCAACCAACATCGTCCTCTAGTTACCACTATATTTCACTCTTCTATGTTGCAGCCAATTATCAAAGAATGCCCTATTAGTATTGTTCCCCTTTATCTTCTGCTTAAATCTCTTGAAACCAGTTTATCACTTGGTAGAAAGATTCCCGTTATCTCCAATCTAATACTAATTTTAATTCACAATTCATTCAATATATTAGACACATTTGATATACATTTCTCCCTTTTTCTTGTCTTCTATCAGAGATTTCTCTTGGATATCAACTTGTAACACTGGTCATTTTTAAAATTTGTTTCCTCCATCCCCCAAATCTAAACCCTGGGATAACCCAAGAAGTGTGTTGAGCCTTTCGTTTATCTGCATTCGATTTCGGCATATTTTTATCCAGAATCTTTGTTTTATATAAAATTTATAAGTGTCTAAAAAAAAGGTTTATCTGTAGTCAGAAATAGACTCTTTCCGTGAGCTACAGAATTAATTATACAGCACTCGCTTTACATCTTTTAATTGTTAAGTTGTTTTCTTCAAAGTTCACATAGAAAAAAAATGTATCCTTAAAACTGATTCCACTATATTCACTGTATGTGCTTTTTCCCTTATGTTCCCTAACTTAGTAAAAGGCACTGCAATTTATACAGTTGTGCAGGCATAAAACCTATGAGTTAATCTTAACTCTTTTATGTTTTTATATCCAATCCTGAATCTCTTCACTTCTATCATCTATACTGCTAATTCCAGAGCCTAAGCCATCATAATTGCTCACCTAGACATCTTCATTTGTCTCTTAACTAGTTACTCTTCCTCTATTCTTATATTTTTACTACTACATTTTTCAATTATCTGTAAGAATAACTATATGTAAAAATTAAAATGTCTATTGTTGAACAAGTCCTGGTAACAAGGATAACTGAATGGAGAGAAAAATCGCATTCATTAGCCGATAAGACTTGTGTTTTTCTGATAACTGATAAATCTGATAACTAAAACTTTAACAGTTAAAAATAGAGTTCATTAGGAAATAGAAACAACCCATACAATTAGCACAAGATAATTTTCTTTCATCAAAAAATGCAATGGTCAGCATTCATCTCCTCATTGTCTTGGTCACACCAAATGATTTCATTAGCTTCAGATGAACTGTAGATGTAATGTTGTGATTACTTTCGTAGGCACATTGTTACATTACCTCCGAAAGATTTGCTCTATTTCAGAGAGACTCAGTCGTTGTAGCTCTACACCATCGTGTACCAGTCTCTGCTCTTACTCCCTATAAGAAACAACAGCAATCTGGAGAAATCTAACTCATGCAAGGGATAAGTGAAGAAATCCAAAAATTGTAAACTCTAAGGTTCTGGGAGGTTTGACTGAGAGGACTTTCAATTGTAATACAGTTGAAGGTGACTACTCATTTTTTGCCTTGGTTAAGTTGTACCACAATAATAAATTTGAACAATATCCTCCCAGACACTCAAACCAAAAAAAAAAAAGGCAGTATAGATTTTTTTCTCTTTCTTTACACCATTATTTACAAAACTTTTCTGTTCATAAAACACTTTCATTACGTTTTTTTCAAAAACTTCCTTACATGTCTGTTTGCCTCTCATTACAATCTGTCCACAAAATTATTGCACTATCCATATTTCTGAAATACAATTGGAATGTCAGCAATCTACTTAAATTCTTCCAGTGCTTCCCCATTATGGGTGAGTAACAGCACACCTTCCTGCAACAGCATGTAACCTGGCAGTTACATGGCTTTTGATACTATACCAACATGTAGCCCCTAGGTCTGTACTAGGATCGTTTTCTTAGGCTCCATGATGATATTTTATATATTTGAAGTACTGTTTTAAGAATCCCCACTTTATACCCCATTCATTCTCTTTCACATGGCTAACTCATCTTGTATTCATTCACTGGTCAGCTATCACTTATGAAGGGATGTATTTAGCCCTAACTACTTACATGCATTGTCATTTCTTTTTCTGGATGCACATCTTTTACTAGCTTGTAGAATGAGGTTCTGCTAGTACAAAGCTTTCTATTTTGGTATTAACATATTATTATTTCATATTTTCTCTTTAAGCTTATCTTGATATAGAATTGTGAAATCACAGAAATTTTCTTCCAGTAACTTCAAATTCCTCATTATATTCTAGCTTATTCTTGCTATTTAAAAAAGTCATCAAATTCTCATTTTTTGGAGGTAATATGTAGTGTGTGTTTGTGTGTATGTGTGTGTGTGTTTAATTTACATACATTAAATAACTATTATTCCATTTATGCTTCTGTAATTTAATTATGACAATGTCCAGGTGCAGATTGATTCTTATTTATTCTGCTTAAGACCCGCTGTGCTTGCTGAATCTGAAGATGCATGTTTTCCATTTTACCCGGAATATTCTTAGCCTTCTCAGAGTAAATACTCAGTTTCATTTATTCTGTTAATGGAACTTCTTTAACACCCTACATGTCTCATAAACTTTCTTTATATTGTCCATTTGTTAAAGTTCCTGTGTCATTTGGCTAATTGTCTGTTAAATTATACTAGTTTACTGCTTACTGCATCACTGCATATTTAATTTTAATTTGATTATTTCTCGACTTCACATATTATTATATTACATGGGTTTTTTTCTTGTATTTTTAATCTATTCTTACATTACTTTATTTTAGAAACAAATATTGTATTCCATGGTTGTCTGTCATTTATTTTCTCTTTCTTTTCATTTTATTTACCTTTACTTATACATTCACAGTGCCGACTTTTGCTTAGACAGATTCTTTTATCATGAGTTGCTTGATGTTTTACTCAAGAGCATTTCTATGATAGCTTTTACCATGTACGTCTACTGAATTATTAGCAACCCACCCCTTTATATGGTAATTTCTCAATTTCCAGACTTGCATCACAAGAAGAAAAGAAGAAAAAAGAGATGTAACTATGGGAAATACTGGATATGTTAATTCACTTGACCTGTAGTAATCACTTCATTATATATGTATACCAAAACATCTTGCAGTACAACTTAAACATACAGAATTTTTTAAAAGACTGCATCTTCATGCTTGCTTAAGGACATAAATTTTCAGGTGAACTTTTTTTCCCACATAGAATACAAGCGAAGATAGGCAAATTTCCTTTCTGTAGCCTACTTTTTAATTGTGAATTTCTTAGAATTTTCAGCCTCAGTTACATGTTTCCAAGTCATGAATTGGCCTAAGGCTTTATCTCCTGCCCTGCTCCCTATTCCCAGTATACACATGTTATGTCACACGTATAAAACAGAAACACCTTAGTTGTGAACATGCACAAATTCCTCTAGGCATCCATGTCATGAGATTATATACACATTAGAAGCTTAGGCTTTTCTTTTGTTTTATTTTCAGAATTTCCCTTATTTTCTTGCAAGATAACCTATATATTTATGACTATATTAAGTTATTTCAACAACAAATTTTTATTTTTTCCAGCAAGAGGAATTTCAGATGAGCTACGTTGTTATATTGTTTTTTACAAAAGCAAAGCTGAAATGTATAGACTTTTGCCATTGTTCCCTAAATAATACAGTGTAACCACTGTGTATATAGCACCTACATTTTATTAGATATTATCAGGAATCTAGAAATGATTTAAAATTTTGGAAGGATGTGCATAGGTTATACACAAATACTACACCATTCTATATTGGGGACCTGAGTATCTGTGGATTTGGGTATCTGTAAGAGGTCCTGAAAAACCAGTCCCCCATAAATACTGAGCGATGACTACACACACACACACACACACACACACACACACACACACACATATCTCATTCATTTTTTTAAATAAAAAACTAAGTAAAACTATTTTTGTTCCACATAATATAGGAAATGTTTGCCAGGATAAAATACAGTTGCCCCTTGAACAGGGTAAAATACAGTTGACCCTTGAACAGGATAAAATACAGTTGACCCTTGAACAGGGTAAAATACAGTTGACCCTTGAACAGGATAAAATACAGTTGTCCCTTGAACAGGATAAAATACAGTTGACCCTTGAACAGGGTAAAATACAGTTGGCCCTTGAACAACATGGGAGTTAGATATACCAATTCCCTACACAGTCAAAAATTTGTTTATAACTTGAGTCCCCCCACACCTAACTACTAATAGCCTGTTGATGAGAAGCCTTATCAGTAACATAAACAGTAGATTAACACTTATTTTGTGTGTTATATATATTATATACTATATTACTACAATAAAACAAGCTAGAGAAAAGAACGTTATTAAATAATTATAAAGAGGAGAAACTACATTTACTATTCATTACAGGGAAGTGGGTCATCATAAAGGTGTTCATCCTTGTCATTTTCACGTTGATTAGACTGAGAAGGAGAAAGAGAAAAAGTTGGTTTTGCTGTTTCAGGAATGGCGGAGGCAGAAGAAACCATGCAGTTTAAACCCGTGTTGTTCAAGGGTCAACTGTAAAGCAACTCCAAAATCACAGCAACATAACACAACTAAGGGTTTACACTACTTGATGTACAGAGATTGGTAAGAGCCTCTTTTCATGGTAGTCAATTCAAGACGTCAGGTGATGGACGCTGTTTCAACATGTGCTTCCAAGTACATCACAGCTGGAGGAAGGAAGCATGGTGAACTGCACATTGCCCGTTAGAGCTTCTGCCAAGACACGGGACAGTTCACATCTACTCACATTTCATTGACTAAAAGAAATCTCAACTACAGGCCTCTCTGAAAGAAGCCAGAAGGCCAGATTATTAGCATTGCTAGAATGACTGTGCTGGAAAGAAAATATTAGTTTAACTTGCTTTCCACATAAGTTACATTATCCTGTTCCCAAGTGAGACAAAATCCCCATTTTGTCATGACATTGAGTTCAGAGTTCAGGACCTCTGGTAGATGCAGACACAAGGAGGCTTTCATTCTTTTTTCTTTTTTTTTTTTTTTTTTGAGATGGAGTCTCGCTCTGTCGCCCAGGCTGGAGTGCAGTGGCACGATCTCGGCTCACTGCAAGCTCCGCCTCCCGTGTTCACGCCATTCTCCTGCCTCAGCCACCCTACTTACTGGGACTACAAGCACTCACCACCACGCCCGGCTAATTTTTTGTATTTTTAGTAGAGACAGCGTTTCACTGTGTTAGCCAGGATGGTCTCGATCTCCTGACCTCGTGATCCACCTGCCTCTGCCTCCCAAAATGCTGGGATTACAGGCATGAGCCACCGCGCCCGGCCGAGGCCTTCACTCTTGTCTCTGAAAGAAGCTCCCGTGTACATTATTCTCCAGAATCACTGTTTCCACCTGTTGGGGGAATCTTCATTTACATTTTTTTTTTTTTTGGCCTTAGAAGCTTGGGTGAAAAATTATGTACATTCCATTTTCTGCTAATAGATGTGGAGGGCATAGAGGGAGCTTTACATCTTTAAAGTTCTTAGCCTCTTTATTAACTCAGGCCTATATACTTTCCTTAATTTTAATTGGCTTTTATTTTTCTTTGATTGCAGAGAGCACTGTGAGAAAATAATCATGTTCATGGTAAGATTTATAGTCTGCTTCTTGTATTTATATACATCTTTGCTTTCTCATCTCTATGCCTTCTTTATGGATCTATCACAAATATATTGGGCTCACAATGTTAGCATGGCACAGATGATTAGCTTTATCTCCTAAGGTATTTTTGTCCAATGGAAAGAAAAGATTAGCTGAAAACCATATTATTCTTTAATCTGAGACTCTTATTTTGCACAGAGGTTTAAACAATAAGTGCGGTATTGTTTGAAATCACACTTGATATTGATGAAATATTAATGATATTTCATCATTAATATAAGAATGGTTAAATTGTTTTATAACTCAAGGGCTTTCTTCATTTTAATATTTTAAAAATTGGGTATGAGAAGCAAATGCTTCTTTAAATTGTCATGGTTTTGGACTCCCATTTTAAAACAAGCTTAAAATTAATACTTCATGTTTTCCTTTTTGCATTCAATAGTAAGCAGCACAGAATACTAATGTTTTGTTTTATAATTTCTTACACAAGAACTATAAAGTCGTTATGCCCGTGATCTTTCTTCCATGTAATCAGAAGAAACCATTTTACCAGTTTCTTTTATAGTCTATTGAGGAATCATTATTTTCCCAGACTCCTTTTCGGAGAGAAACCCTTGTCTTTCCTTACGTAAACTCCAAAAGTTTAAAAAGAAAAGCTCCTCTCAGATCTTCAACTACTTGTTTTTGTATTGTGTTATATGATTTTTTTGGACTTAAATAATTATTACAACAGGGGCTACTCTTGATTGTTTAAGATAAGAAAGGGTGTGGTTTAGACAGAGAAATGTCTTTATAACAAAGTGCAGTGTAAAAGCATCACGTGGCTTAATCTCATGACAGCCCTTTTTTTGCAGACCTGGGATTCAGTGGGAGCTTTGCTCAGAGCCCAGTGATCCAGTTAAAAGATAGAGACTAAATTTAAAACTACCTACTAAATAAAATTGGTCCTCTTATACAATCCTGTGGAAGATAGAATTTTATGTTTGATTTGGCATCTATTTTTAATCTCCCTCTCATACAACAGACTCTCTTTCTCTCTTCTCTATCTCTCTCTCCTCTATCTCTCTGTACTTTGAAGTGTGAATTTTGCTATCTGATTTTCACCTAAGAGTTGTTACTTAAGTAAGCAAATTTAGGGCTCTCCAGCTTACAGTTGCCTGGAGTAATGAAACAGATTATCAAGAAATTGAAAGTCTAAAATAGCAGAAAAAGAAAAGGGTCTTGTGGATCTATAAGATGTACTTCTACCTGCATATCTAATATATCTGTGTATTTATTTAATATATAATGTATGTCATGTATATGTTTCACTACAAAAAATATTAAAAAGAGCTCTAATTCATTGGCGTAAAGAAAAAAAAGTGCTTAAATCAAATGCTGTATCAGAAAAATAGAGGCTTTAAGCCCAAATCCATTTTAAGTTTACCTGACTTAAATTAATATTTAATAAGTAAGCTCGTTGGTAAAATAAAATTAGAAATGTCTTCAGAATTGTCAGCATACATTATTGTTTAGATTTATTGGTCAAATAGTTTTAAATTTATCTCTGCTAGATATTATAAGCTGTCAAAATTTGCCATGAGGGTTATAAAGCTATAAATGCAGCCCAAAAGAGAATTATCTTTATTTGTGTCATTTTTTATAAATAAGGCATTTAATATTGCTTGTTCAATACAAACAGCTAAATCTTGAGTTATTGACAAAAAGAATTACTTAACCTTATTATTCTTAAGTAAACACCTGAAATTCACAGGATATACAAATGGTTAACAGGAAAATAACTTTAAATAATAACTATCACATTTTTCATAAGTAATCTACGGTAAACTATTAAAAATAAATTAATCAGGTAAATGTAATGGAATAAATGCTTATAAATAAATTTGTCATATTATTTAGAATCTAAAATTATATTAAACTAAATAAAAGATGGTCATTAAATGTCTGGGTCATTTCCAATGTTTTAAAAATTATAGGAAATCATTTTTTAAATGTGTTCTTATTTAAAGGAAAATAATTTTTGCCTAATTCAAAAGTTATTTAAAGATTACTTATGAAACAAAGTAAAAGGAACCAATAAATAAGAGAGATGCAAAGAAAGTTATAAATATAAAGAGGCGTTTCAGCTAGTAAAGGTTAAAAGGAAAATAATTGTGTATGGGAAATAATCTTGTAAGATAATTTTTGTCCTAAAGTAAAATAATTGGTTATTTAGGAGAGAGGGATGCTTAGGATAAAACAGGAAGTCTGAGTATAATGCAAATGGTTTGTGTAAGTCATGATCAGATTTGTACAAAGAGAATTTATGAGAAAGAAAACTTTAAATGAACACATTGGCTATAATAAAAGGAAATTATTTATAAAAGTGTTTCTAAATATTGGGCTTTGATATTAAAAATACACTAACACACTAAAGAATTGGTAGGAACACCAAAATTGTCTTATTTATTTGCTCGTAATAAAATTACAAGAGATTTAATTTATTTTAACCCCAAATTTCGACTTTTATTGCATCTCATTGTTTTCAGTTTTCTCCCCCATTTGAGAAAACATGAAATAATAACTCCTTCAAATTTTTTCTCTCGGGTTCTAACTGCTATTGCGGCCTGATGCGAAAAATGTTTTATCTTAAAGCTCTAAAGGAAATATCTTCTTTCAACATAACATTCTGTGCCTTTGGCTTTAACGAAACAAAAAAGCTCCACTTATGCCCCAGGATACACTCTTCCTATGTTTGACTAATTCAAGTATCATTTTTATTAGTTTTGACTTCCAAGTTATCTAAATGAACTCCCCATAGGGAAAGACAAGCAATCACACTGCAGAAGGACTTTTCTTGTTTTTTCTTTTTTTGCCTTTTTGTAACTGGTGTAACAAATAAATTTTATGTTTTGTTGAAATAATTTCTATGTCATTTTTACTAAGTTTTGATTTCCCTAGGAAAACTTAAATTAAAACAAATTATAACTTAAAAACAAATAATTAAAAACTTTAAAAAATTAAGCCTTTTATATCCATGTAACTTTCTGTATTGCTTTTAGAGTCCTGTGCTATTACATTACAGTACTTTGACTCCTGGGTCTAAAAAGGACACCAAGTACTGCTAAATATTAAGCATTCACAGCAGTTAAAGCCTTCATCAGAACTGAGAGATGATGACAATCAAAATAAACTGCCTTTGTGAGACAGAGAGCCAGAAATTAAAACTATTGAACCCCTGTAGACCCAGATACTATTGCAGAAGAGGTAGTCACATGAGATTGTAATAGCCCATTTTGAGAGATAAAATTAACTCAGTTTCTCTATAAATTTAACATTAATATCAAATGCACACTGATGCAAGAGCAGCATATAGGCCCCTGAGTCAGAATAATAAGCCTTTCTTGGAGCATTAACCAAATCTTTAAAAAAAGTATAAAATTTTATAAAAAGATTTATGGAAATTATATCTTAGGGTCAAGGTAATTAAAATTAAATAGATTTGTTTATAACATTTGAGAGACAGATTCAACTAGTCTCATGGTGTTTTTATTAGAGCTTATTGCTTGGGAAATTAATTCTCCTGTCTCAAATAATAAAGGTTTTTGCTTTTTAGGGGGAAATCTTTGAGTTTTTACTTTGGCTAAATGAATGACTTATTTTACAGTGACCTGTGATCCTATTCTGTGATGTCAAGTGTTTTAAACTTTTTATGTTTGATGAACTTTCTAAAATCACGTGCTAAATTCAGTCCTATTGACCTCATTAATTTTTTGTTAGTAGGTCCCTTGAAGTCCAAAAATAAATGTTTGGCTTATTTGATGTAATAAAATCATATAGGAAGCATTGTCAAATATAAAATGATGTTTAACCATCTTTGGATTATATTTATATAAATGTGTTAGTAGTATTTATTGCAAGATTATATGAGATTCCTGTGACTCTAATATGTCTTAGTATATGTTATCAATAGTAATTATAATTATTATGTAAAATAGTTGAATGACACAGAACTAAATTTCCTTGTCAATTGTATCTTTAACTATAGCTGTTCTAAGACATTTTAATTTAATCCTTTAACAAGGCAGTTTATAACCAGCTATAGAAGTCTAAGGATCACTGTTAAATATAGGTTTCTCATAATTTTAGAGATTGTAACATTGGAATAGACAGAAAATTTTCCAGGGCTCTCATGGAGAGCTGACGTATTCATGAGGATTTTTGATCCAATATCGAGCAGAACAGGAATCAATTGCAGAGACTGAACTAACAAAAGAGTAAAATAATGTTGGGGAAACCAGCCCCACACCACAGTGGGTACCTTGAGTCTGGCAGAGACAAAGGAGTTAGAAAAAGACAGAATAAGCATTTAAAAGGTGGGTCCAGGGAACTGGAGCATTAGAGGCTTGCTCATGGCCCAGAGCTCTCAGGAATCCCCCTAATTTATTGGTTTACAAGCTCTTTGTTCTTAGGGCAGATGGGAGGGGGAGGAAGGGATGAGGAAAAGGATTAATCAGTGAAGGAGAACTCTGAGTCATTCAATAAGATGTATAGCAGTGGCAGTTTCTGTGAATTTCCTTGAGCAAAGGCGTGTGTCTAAACTACTTAAGATCTTTAACTTATTGGGAATGAAATGGGTGGGAATGGTTTCAGGAGGAGCCAAGATGTTTGATTATACTTCACTGCTTCAAGGGAGTTTTATCTCCCTGAGCAACCTGTGGAATGCCGCTGAGCGGTTATGTTCTTGGGGCATAAAGACATGAAGGCAATAAGGAGACTTTTCTCCTCAGAGGCTGCCCATGGCTTCCCATGGGTGTCTCACACAGGGGAGACCAACTCAACTGGCATCCCAGAAACTCTCTTTCCCACATGTCCCCCTTTTTTGTCTTTTTTTTTTTTTTAAATTAATAACCACCATTGCTATGCCATGGCTCGTTCACGGTATCTGGCTTCTCTCCCAAGGCGCTGTCCGCATTTGTAGACTAAAAACAAACAGCATAAACAGACACAAACCAAAATAAAATTTGCAATTGTTGATCTACCTATGGTTTTACTCCACTTTAAAGGATTGGTATTAGAAAGGCCATCAGCGGCTCCAGCAAGAATGTCAGCTCCAGGCAACAGGGTGAGATGAGCCTGAGATGCCTCAAAAACTTGTTTTCTTCAGTTTAGCAATATCTAATGTTAAATTATCTTCTTTTCCTTGCAGGTGATGTCTAATCATCGCCCAATGGTGCTCAGTGGCATTATAGGAGCTATGAGTAATACAAAAATCAGAAGTATTCCAATCACATTGCATTTGAATTCTATGCTCCAAATTCATAATCCAATCTCCCATCCAAATTACTGTTTGACAGAGATCATTAATTTGATTTGCCAATTTTTGATCTATTTGGCTTTGGGAATTCCAAAGCTTAGAAGAATTTTTCTGCCAACTATCCACAAAGCCTGCAGTTTGAATAGAAGAGTGCAAAGCAACAGCAGCAGCAGCAGTAGCTGTAACAGCTATAAGGCCCAGGATCACAGCTATTAAAGTAAATATGAATCTCTTTGATCTATTAAGTATTCCTTTTAGTACTTCAGTGATAATATGTATGGAAGGAGAGGCCTCCCAAGGTCTATTGAGGGAAACAGGTATCCAAATTCCTTCTCAGGACTTAACCAGTAAAATGTTATTATCTTTATTAAAGGTAGAATTAATGCAGGTAAAAAAGATGACCATTGAGGCATGATATGGTTTGAGAGTCAGGTAGGATATTAATTTTTTCCACTGCCAACCTAAAAGGAGGTTTAACACAACTCTGCAATGGGACTGTCCGATTAGAGGTCATGGCTACAACAAATCGAAGTTTTTTACTATGGGTTTCTGTTTTATTTTCTCCTTTCCAAATCCGAATTGGGGTTTGAGCCATCATTGATTTCCATAGTTCTGGATGTTCTGGACTTATAATTGGATCAATCATTTTCGGTCTTGGAAGAGCCATACCGTTCTCCTCCCACTTAATAGAGTAATTTGTTTCAATTCTTCTATATAATTTTGGTGCATTATCTGGGTAGTCATTTGCAAAAGGAATCTCTCTGCAATCTTCATGCTGTCCAGTACAATTTACTGCAAAGCGTCCCCTAGGGGCCCAATCAATGATGATTCCATAGGAATTATTTTGCAGTACAACAGCGCTGTTTGCAATACAATCTTCCCAGGTTAGCCCCTCTAGCTTTCCAGACAATTTAGTGGCCTGCCTAAGGCAGGGCTTTTTATTAGGTTTAAATTTATTAATCTGGTGATGTGTCATAACATAGCTGTGCTCAAGGTATTTTGTAGTGTCCCAAGATTGAAATGTTCTTCCACTGATTGCATGAATAGAGGCTTTTGATCCATTATGTGCAGGGACATAAACCATTCAACTTTGTTTATTATAATTTAAACATCCTGCTGCCAGCCCTAGGCAGATGGGAGGAAAGTGATAACCAATGGAAACATTCATTAACATTCCTTCCTCCTCTGGATGAGTAGGACCTCGTTTATCTGTTGGTCCAGGCATCCAGACACTATCATTAACATAAACCTCCACCGGGGAGTCTAACCATGTAACAGGCCTAATCAGTGGTGGGAATGGAACGTACGGCCAATAAGTGTAATTTTGATCTGTCTCAGCTACGGCGAGACTCACTGCCAGGGAGATTACTGCCATCATAGCTACCATTAGATTACTGATGGTCAGTGGCTTGTTCTGAGACCTCAGGTTCTCTTCTGCAATGGGAGCTACTCTCTTCATCTGCCCCCAGGTCGGTGGAGTTGCTTGGCGAGCTTTACAGTTTCCATCTGCTCAACAGAGACGTTCTTCTGAGCCATCTGACGAACTGGGGGTGCAGGGATGTTCCGAGGTCTTTTCCTCTTCCTTGGATTCTGGCTCATGGCACAGCTTAAGATGTCTTGTGGGTACCCAGACAGGAAGCTGATTCTCTCCTGGTGAGATACAAGCAAACCCTTGACCCCTTGTAATGATTTTGCCTTTTTCCCAGGTTTTGGTTCTGACATCCTTCCACCACACATGTTTTCCCTCATGAGAATTTATTTTTTGCCCTGTCAAATGCTGCTTTGCTGCCGTTGTAACCTGATCTCTAGATAAATTCAAAAAATTTAAAGTGATAAGAGCCAATTGTATCTGCATATGGGGAGTAGAGTATTCTCTGGTTCCCCCCTCTGTCTTTTGTTTTTGTAATTGAGATTTTAGGGTTCGATTAGCCTGTTCAACAATGGCTTGGCCTTGAGAATTATAGGGTATTCCAGTACTGTGCTCAATGTGCCATTGTTGAAGGAACACTTGTAAAGATTTACTGCAGTAGCCTGGGCCATTGTCTGTTTTAATCTTTTGTGGGATGCCCATGGCAGCGAAACAGGAAAGTAAATGTCTTTTAATATGAGCAACCACCTAACCTGTTTGGCAAGTTGCCAATACAAAATGAGAAAAGGTATCTATAGTAACATGGACGTATGAAAGTTTCCTGAATGAAGGTACGTAGGTTATGTCCATTTGCCACAACATATTGTGGGTTAATCCCCATGGGTTAACACCAGTCCCTTCATGTGGCAGTTGTAGTACCTGGCACTGAAGGCAATGTTGCAAAATGTCCTTTGCCTGTCTCCAAGTAATCTGGTATTTTTGTTTAAGTCCTGCTGCATTAACATGTGTTCGGGAGTGAAAATCTTGGGCATTAGTAAGCATAGTGGAAACTAGTAAATCAGCTTGATCGTTATCCCTTACAAGGGCCCAGGAAGATTAGTGTTTGCTTGAATGTGCATAATATAGAAAGGAAAACAGCGATCATGCACTGCCTTTTGTAAAGAAGAAAACAGCTGATAGAGTTGTTCATCCACAAGATATTTAATGAGTGTAGTTTCTATATATTGAGTGGCTTGAACAACATAAGCTGAATCAGAGACAATCTTTACAGGTTGCTTAAAGTCTTCTAACACAGCTATAACTGCCTCTAATTCAGCCCTCTGTGCTGATTGAAAGTCAGTGTGAATAATTCTGTTTTTGAGTCCTACATAAGCTGCTTTTCCATTGCTAGATCCATCTGTAAACACAGTTAACTGCTCCTTCCAATGGAGCACTAGGGGTAATTTTTGGAAGGACCCATGTTGTTAGCTTTAAAAACTGAAAAAGTTTGTTTTTTGAATAATGATTGTCAATAACTCCAATGAATCCAGCTAAATTTATTTGCCAATCGACCGAATTAACAAAGGCTTGCCAAATCTGATTTTTAATCTTTGGAACTATAATCTTATCTGGATCTGAGCCACAAAGTTTAACAACTCTAAGGTGAGCTTGCCCAATCAAGATTGCCATCTGATCCAAGTATACTGTGAGTGTTCTAACAGTATTGTGAGGCAGAAAAGACCATTCAACTAAGTCTTCACTCTGAATTATAACCCCTGTAGGAGAATGGAGAGTAGGGAACACAATGAACTGTAATGGTAAACTTGAGTCTATTCTATTAACCTGGGCCTGTTGTATTTTTTTCTTCAATCATTTGTAATTCTTTGGCAGCTTCAGGAGTCAGTTCTCATTTACTATTGAGAGCAGGGTCTCCTCTTAAATAGAGAACAGATTAGACATAGCATAGGTAGGGATTCCCAAAGTAGGTTGAATCCAATTGATATCCCCTAATAATTTTTGAAAATCATTTAAAGTTTTCAGAGAGTCTTTTTGAATTTGAACCTTTTGGGGTTTAATTGCCCTTTCCTGAACCTGCATTCTCCAATATTGGAAATGAGTGGCCATTTGAATTTTATCTGGTGCTATGAGCAACCCAGCATTGGCTACCACCTCCTGTAAATATGAATAACACTGGATAAGTCGGTCTCGATTTTCGGCCGCACACAATATGTCATCCATATAATGAATGATATACGAATTGGGAAACTGATCTCTCACAGGTTGAATAGCCTTCCCCACAAAAGTTTGACAAATAGTAGGACTATTCAACATGCCCTGTGTCAGGACTTTCCAATGATATCTGGCTACTGGTTCCTTGTTGTTCACGGCAGGAATAGTAAAAGCAAATTTCTCAAAATCAGACTCTGCTAGAGGAATACTTCAAAAGCAGTCCTTCACATCTATAATTATTAATGGCCAGTCTCTAGGAATCATGGTGGGGGAAGGAAGCCCCAGCTGCAGGGCCCCCATCAGCTGGATGACTGCATTGACCACTTGTAAGTCACTTAGCATGTCCCATCTGCCAGCTTTTTTCTTTATTACAAACATTGGCGAATTCCATGGAGAAAATGTTGGCTCAATGTTTCATTTGTTTAATTGCTCTTTGACTAATTCCTGTAAGGCCCCCAATTTTTCCTGAGAAAGCAACCACTGCTCAACCCAAACAGGATTTTGCGTCTTCCATTTTAAGGGAATAGGACTTGGAGGCCCAACAATGACTACCCCTAAAAATGGTAACCTAATCCTTTTTGGTCATTTTTTACAGTAACCTGTATGGGTCCAATAATGCCCGTCTCCTGTTTTCCTAGGCCTTTTCCAGGAATATAGCCCATGTTTGACATTATTTTTTGATGAGCTTCACCATACCAGGGAGAAGGGATTGAAATTTCTGTGCCCCATTGCTGAAGCAGATCTCTCCCCCATAAGTTAACAAGAATCAGTATGTAAGTACTACTCCAGTATGTGCTTGAATTCCCTTTAAGTTTAAGCTGGACCTTCTCAGTGTAAGTCCCACCATGCCATTTGGCAATGGGCTGTAAACTCCCGTTGGGACCTTCCTAGGAGGCTCCCCAGGATGGAGGGATACAGCTTTGGTACAGCATAAATCTACTGCCCTGCCTTTAGCTGTGGAGGAGGACAATTGCTGTACATTTGTACAGGGATAGACTGTGCCAGGAACACTCTGTTTGGAGTCAGGGATGTCCTGTCCTGAATTGGGAATGCCCCGTTTTGAATCAGAGCTTGGGGCTGGCCCCTCTGTCTGTTTCCCGGCAAGGGCTGTCTGCTATTATCAAACTTTGAATGACATTGATTAGCTCAGTGTTTTCCTTTCTTACATCTAGGACAGGTACCTGGTTCGCTGCTTTTTCCTCCTGAGTTTTGCCTTTTTTGGCTCTTTGTACACTCTTCGTATGTCCTATCTCTCCACAATTATAGCAAGATCCAGGGAACACTCATGTGTTTTTTGTTACCCTTAGTCCAGCCATTGCCTGAGCAAGGAGACTGGCCTTATAAGTGCCCCCCAATGCCATCACAGGTTTTAATGTATTCACTTAATGTTTTTTCCTCATTTAGATCTGCCTTTCCCTTAATAGGTCTAATTGCTGCCTGACATTATGTATTTGCATTTTCATAAGCAAGCAGCTGAATGATCACTTACCTGGCATGAGAATCCAAAATAGCCTTTTGAGCCGCATCTTGCAAATGGGTGATAAAATCTGGATAAGGCTCACTTGGACCCTGTCGAACTGAGTTAAAAGAAGGATAAGTAGTACCAGGGTAGTGAATTTTTTCCCAGGCTCTTAGGCATATAGTTCTGAGCTGATCAGCAGCCTCATCACCCATTACCATCTGTTGATTTAGAGTACCCCATGCCTGTCCAATTCCAAGCAGTTGATCAGATGTGATATTAACGGGAGTTTGGGCTTGAGCATTTCTGCATGCCTGATTTGTTGATTCGTCCATCCACCAGGTTTTAAATTGGAGAAATTGAGAGGGGGACAGGGTTGATCAGGCTAATGACTCCCAATCCATGGGTTTTAAACGCCGGTTATAAGTCACAGATTGTAACAAGGAATGAACACAAGGAGAATCTGGCCCATATTGTCCAATTGCTTGCTTTAAGTCTTTTAATATTTTAAAAGGAAATGGCTACCAGCATGCTTGAGCATGTTCTCCAGGCTTCTCAGCTGGCGAAATAATTACCAGAAACTGCCAACCATCCAAATCCCCCATTTCTCGTGCCTGGTGAATGGATGCCTGGATTATCCCTGCATCATAATTTGTATTTGGGCCAGCTTGCAGCATTCTTCTACCATAATTAACAGGTGGACAAGCCTGGATCATTCCCTCACCGTAACTGGCTGTTGGGCAAGCCTGAAGCTTTCCTTCACCATAGTTAATGGTGGGGCATGCAACAATGGGAGTGGCAAGCCGCGTCTCAGGCTCCTGTTCCAAAAATTCATAAGGCTGAGGTGGGAGTGGCCATTCTGGACCTTCCCCTAAAGGCGCAGTAGGTGGCACTGTTTCTGCAGTAGGTGGAACTGTTTCTTTGATAAGTTTTTGGAGGTTAGCATATATAGCTTCCCGTTTCTCCCCCTTTTTTAAACTAGACTGTGATGGTTCACTTTGCTGATCATCAGACTCCCGATTATTAAACTTTTCTGTCATCCTGAAACTCCTCATCCTCCTTCTCAGTGTGGAAGGGCTCCAATGCTGTTTTAATTGCCGATCACACAGACCAAGTGGAGAAGGGAATATCATGGCCCTCTTACTGTGCTCGTTTTAAGTCTGTTCTGACCTTGTCCCAATCTTTTACATTCATGGTTCTGTATTCCAGGAACCAAGGAGAATACTTTTCTATGAGATGGAACAAAGATGTGAGATTTTGGGTACTCACAATTACCACCCCCTGCGGTGCAATAACTGCTGCACCAGGCTTAAATAATTAGCAAACTTACCTTCAGCCTGACCCATATTTTCCTGAGGTTACCCTGGAATTCTCTGAGGGCCCTACTTACCCATAGAGCATGAAGTGAAAAACGTACTCAAGCATCCTTCGTCAGTCGTCCTCCACTTTCCATGCTCTGGTATTTCTTCACCTGATTATTTGTAGAGTTTATGGGGAGCCCCACGTTGGGCACCAGATGTTGGGGAAACCAGCCCCATACCACCCAGCAGGTATCCCAAGTCTGGCAGAGACAAGAGTTAGAAAGAGACAGAATAACCATTTAAAAGGTGGGTCCAGGGGACCAGAGTTGGTGGCTTGCTCATAGCCCAGAGCTCCCGGGCTCCACCCAATTTATTGGTTTACAGGCTCTTTGTTCTTAGGGCAGATGGGATTAAGGATTAATCAGTCCCTTGAAGTCCAAAAATAAATATTTGGCTTATTTGATGTAATAAAATCATATAGAAAGCATTGTCAAATATAAAATGATGTTTAACCATCTTTGGATTACATTTATATAAATGTGTTAGTAGTATTTATTACAAGATTATATGAGATTCCTGTGACTCTAATATGTTTTAGTATATGTTATCAATAGTAATTATTATTATCATGTAAAATAGTTGTATGACACAGAAGTAACTAAATTTCCTTGTCAATTGTATCTTTAACTATAGCTGTTCTAAGACATTTTACTTTAATCCCTTAATAAGGCAGTTTATAATCAGCTATAGAAGTCTAAGGAGTACTGTTAAATATAGGTTTCTGGTAATTTTAGAGATTGTAACGTTGGAATAGACAGAAAATTTTCCAGGGCTCTCATGGAGCTGATGTATTCATGAGGATTTTTGATCCAATATAGAGCAGAACAGGAGTCAATTGCAGAGACTGAACTAACAGAAGAGTAAAATAATCTTTTATGACTTTTTGTTTAAAACATTTGCTGATTCCTTTTGTTTTGTTTTTCAGTAAAGAAAATATTTTTTCTTTCAAACTATTTATAGCTTTATACAATTTAGTGAAGTATACTCTAGTGAGCAAAATTTAAAGCATAATTCTTTTCTCTCTATCTAATTTCTCCCAAATTTGGAAACTATATGCAATTATTATTAGTTTATGGCAATATAGTTATTTGCAGAAGTTCAATAGGAATCTGTTTTCTTTTATAATAGGGCATAATTGGAGTCACTCATTATTTTACCAAGGCTTTGGCTAGAATGACATATTTTCAGATTACCTTGAGAAAATGAGGCTTACCTATAGGGCCAGTAAAGGCCCCTTGGAAATATTGGCCCCATATCTTGTCCTTTACAAGGTCCTGACCTGTCATAAGTAAAGAATGTCACTCTCTGATAGGACCAGGGATTTCAAATTTTCTTGGGACCTTGAAAAGGGAAGAATACATTCAATTCATACAGGTATCTGTAGGCACAGATAAATCCTTAGCTGCGCTTGAGGCTTTTTAAAATGTGTAATCTTAGATTTCTTATTGGAAATGATTCCAGCAAAGCCAATTAAAAGAGAGAAGGGGGAGAGAGAGAGAGAGAGAGAGAGAGAGAGAGAGAGAGAGAGAGAGAGAGAAAGCCTATTAGCAAATGATTATTTTTGCCACACATTACACAAATAATCAAGCCAAGAATAATACGACTAAAACTTATTTTAAAAATAAATTAGCCCTACTGTGATTTTATCTTTAATAAAATTGGGGAATTGAAGAGAAAAAAATGTTTCTAAATGAACTATAGTGCACTCATTATTGGATTCTAGCCTTGTGCAGTGATTTTCTATTATTATTATTATTATTTTACAATTTGGACTGAATTCTGAAAGTTCTCCTTGCCACAAGTCTCCAAAATAATGTTTTAATTATTTCTCTTTGTTTTCCATTTTCCTGATTTGAAACACTAAAGCTAGGCAACTTAAATGTCAGAAGAAAATAACAGTAACTTTTTTGTATACATAAATGAATTTGATACCTATTGATGTATGGACTTCAGAGTAAAACGGCTTATATCAGTTTTCCAGGATTTTCTTCCTTTTTTGTTGTTTGTTGTTTTCTTCTTTTTCTCTTCTGTTTCTTTCTCTCTTTCTCCCTCTATTTTTTCTTTGTAAGATGTGAAACTTTACAATCTGCTAAAAACGAGCCTTCCCAACCATGTAGGACCTGTTTGTCTAGGAAAAAACTGTCCTATACATGAGAGATTAGACAAAACCCAAGACCAGAGACTAATTTTCTTCTAAAATGCTTTCTCTCGAAGATTTCAAAAAGAAGAGGGAGGTGAAATGTAAAAGGAAAATAGAAATGTGGGACCCCAATTCAAGATGCCAAAAGGAAAAATTAAGCTGAAACTGAGTCATGCAAGAAGCTGCCTTTCTTTTGGTTCCTAAGCAGATAGGTACAGATAAAAGGTTGAATATCTTCACAGGTAGCTACTCTGTGTTCACTTTGTCTTATGTAAAGTGCTGACTCACTGAGCATGGGATGAATACCTAATGGACTATTCCCCTATGTGCTCCTTTTCTCTTACAACATGTGGATTTTGTAATGTGACCATACCCTCCCACTTTCCCCTCCAGGCTGCTTTTCCCCTTTAAATATTGAAGCCCTCAAAAATTATCTTTGGAGAAAGGCACAGATGTGTTTTTTGAGCATGTCCTTAACCTTTGCAAAATAAACTTCAAAATTGATAGAGACCTGTCTCAGATACATTTTGTTTTACTGACTGATTCTCATTTCATCTTCGCTATGCTTCCAAAACCATCAAGATGGGGAAAAATAAAACACACTCACAGAATAAACAGTACAGTAATTCTTAATGCTACTGCACAGAAATGTCTTTCACCACTTAAACTATCATGCCATTGGCCAAAACAACTCACAGATTCATTCTTAACTTCAGGTGGACACAGGAACACAATACTATCATTTCTTTCAATAAAAAATATGGCTGGGAAATTTTTCTTAAATAGTATGAATGTCTCTATCAGTGTCTGTACACAAACAACACAAAGAAAAATACAATTTATACATACTCAATAAGGGGAAGAATGAAACTTTCCCAGCATCTGTGTATTTTTTGATAATACATGTTCTATTTTGTTGCAAATTTTTGAAATGTAGAAGTATTTTTAGAATTTAGTTTGTCTGTGTGTGTATTTAATCAGGAGTTGAAGGTAAAACAGTTATAAATTTAAGGGGTTTATTTTTGTTCACAAATCATAAAACTCAGAACATGTCATTAGAAAATGATAAACGATTACAAATTTTTATTTGAGATATAGAGTTAATTCTAGTTCATTGTAGTTATTTATTTATTTACTTATTTTAGGTTACCTTGAAAATACTAATTAAGATTTTTTGAAATGATTAAAATCATTCCATTTTCATTTGCTTAATTCTTAATTTATAAAATGCATCTTGTTAATAGAAATAAATTTTTTAAGTGTAATGTAAGCTACTTGGGTGAGGGAGAAGTAAATATTCTTTGTATTCTTTCAGAATTTTTTTTAAGTCATATACCACTTCACAAAATCCTCCAGGTAGATTTTAATATGCTGTGTTTTCTTTGGCACTGCTGAATTAATCTACTTATATTTCTTATTTAGAAGCTGAAAGTGCCATTGAGCATACCAAGATTTGTTTTCTAAATGGCGATCCGGCTGGTGTGTGTGTGTGTGTGTGTGTGTGTGTGTGTGTGTGTGTTTGTTGTTGTTGTTGTTTTTCTCCTCTATTAATTCAGCTGCAGTAAGTGCCTGGATTGCAGGCATTTGCATTGCAGTAACAACAAGTGGCATGCTAGTGGGCACTGGCCTGGAGCCAAAGAAGCCAAGCTGCCTCAGGCTTCCTTGTGCTTTCACCACTCCTTCAATGGACCTTTGGTGTCAGCTGAAAAGTGTGCAATAAATCAGCCTGTTTCATCAGTTGAAATCCTATAATTGAATTAAAGAGCATTTTCATAGTTTATGGGAATCTCAGTCATTGGTTAAAATCTAGCTGGATGTGCCATGTTCTAATGGACTGGAAATGAATTTTGTGACTGTCCACTTTAGTAATTTTCTCAGCTGCCTTTCTCATTGTTAATGTTTCAGCAATTGCAGTCTGCGTCACTGGGTGGTCAGAGCAATTTCCGCTCACTAGTCAAAGCTACTCCTTTTTGTTTTTTTCAAAAATCTTCACCTGTTTTTTTTTAAGTAGTAAATTTGTGGTAATATCTTCATCTTAAAATCTTTTCTCTCTTTTATTTTTACTTATAGCAATAATTGTACATACTTATTAGGTACAGAGTGATATTTTAATACATGAATATAATGTGTAATAATCAAATCAGGGTAATTAACAAATTCAGCTCCTCAAACATTTATCATTTCTTTGTGTTGGGGACAGTAAAAATCCTATTTTCTAGCTTTTTGAACATATAAATAAATGATTTTAACTGTATTTATCCTACAGTTAAATCCTATCAGACACTAAAATGTGAAACCTTTTAACTCCTGCCTGACACAAAAGTGTTTGAGTATACCTTAAAAAGTAAGAACTCAAGACAAAAATCTCTATGCTACTATTTGAAAATCCATTTAAAATATACATAGCACATATATAAGTAGATTTCTTTTACCAGTATTGAAGGCTAAAGAAAATAAACTAAAACAATTTGTGTTTTATCTTTCTCTCACATATACACACAACTGAAAATAAACAAGTTTTTGCTATTTCATCCTTTCAAACTGGAATATGAAAAAAAAATGATACTTTTGAAGCCTGATTTCACTGGTACCACTAAAGTAAATTTGTTCATCCATTTACTTGTCAATTTAACAACAGTCATTATTTATTGCCTGCTGCATTTCAGAGATTCTGCTAAGTTCTGTAACTACAAAATTTCCTGATATACTAGAAAAAAAAACTAGAAAACAGATAATCACATATACATATAAACATCACATAGAGAAGTTTGGTTGTGTCAAAATCAATTTACAGTAAGTGATACTGTGTTGCCTCTTTTTCAGTCTTGATTTTTATCTCCTATAGAAAAGATTCTTGAAAAGATTATCTTTTCAAGTTGTATTTTATCTAGTGTTTAGCACTGTACATTTCAAATACATTTTCCCCCAGTCTTATTAATTTACAATTTTCTATCTTAAGCAGCACGTTTTATGGTTCTAAACTGCTCTTATTTCCAGTAATCTCTCAGCTACGTGTGTCATCTTGTCTTACAGCAGTAATTACTTTATATGGAAGTGTTTTTTATTTGCCAATATCCATTTCTCTCATAATTTTGTGCACAGGAGAGGATTACTGTAAAGTTAGGTGAGGCCAAGTATTTTTCTCTAATGAATGACATACGAGTGGATGTGCACATTTTAGCTTCTCAGTGAGATCACTCTGAAAAACACATTTAAAATTGAAAGTCCCTTTCAATCAGCACTTCCTGTGGCAATGCCTTGTCATTTTTTGCATAGTAGTCATTACCAGTTATCAATCAATGCATTTTAAGTAATTTTATGCTTTTTCTTGCTCCAAAACACACACGATTGTAAGAGCAACAAAGTAAAAGTAATTCTTTATTTTATTTTTTTACTAATATTGTTTCTTTCCCTTTGGATCTACAATAGGGCTTAGAATATAGAAAGTGCTACGTAAAATAGCAATTATGAGGCAGATGTAAAGAGGTGATTTCCAAACTAGGAAAAACGTGTGTGTGTGTATACACACACACACATTTTACACATATTATTTCTATATTATATACTAATATATTTTAAATATACAAAATACATTGATTTGTATAAAATATATAACAAATACTATAGAGACTATATATATACATACATACATATATACGTGCTTCTTTTATGCTTGTGCTTTCATGTTAGTCTTGTTTGCTTGAGTGTTCATTTTCTCATATACTTGTGTGCTTAAGTTTTCTTGTTTAATTTGTTCATTTACATTATGCAAAGTTATATGGATAGTATAATTCATTAAAAGCATTAGAAGACTAAGTATATTGGGGTAATAAATTTAACAGACTTAGTTGAAAAAGTAGTAGTATTATATCAAGTAGAATATTGCAATTTAAGATATCAAAGATTGTGTATTTCTGGATTATGACAATATATTGATGTGGCAATGGGATATAAAGCTAAAGTGGAATGCATTTAAAATTCCTGGAGTGGATGAGTTCAAGGATTTTAGGCCAGGCTTGGTAGGCTGCATGTAGCTCTTTACATCATGAGGGAAGCAGGTTCGTTAATAAGAATAACAGTGTCAGTCAGAAGCTCAAACTAATTTAGAGAAGTAACTATGAGTGTGGTTGAATTATCTGATTACCATTTTAGCTGCATATGATAGGCTATCCACAAATAGGTTGAAATTCTATGAGGTGTTTTTAATAATGGGTTTAGGATCAATACATTTTTAAGCTTCTTCGCATTTTTCTTACCTCTGTTTTTCAAAGAAGTGGACTCACTAAATCTCCAACATAGACTGTTCCCTCTTGGTTCTAAAAACAGTATAGACTGGAAGCAAAGCATTGCTGAAACTCTAGATTTTCTTTTCCTCCTTCACTCAACTTGGAATAAAGGAATAAAGAATTCACAAACTCCTAAGATAATCCATTCACTTTTCTGACTTCTCTAATTGAGGGAACATTATTGATTTTAACCCTATTTTCCTATAATAATGAACCCCATTACATATATACATATTTGTGATGGCACAGATTAAATCTAAACCCTCACTAGGTAAGCTCAAATATTTACCTGCTGAAAATTATGCCACATCACTGACCAATAGATTTATACTTTTTTGTTTCCTAGTTGTACGTGACATGTATACAATGGACCCATTCTATGATTGAAAGTTTATGTGTTTGACTTCTATTAATAAATATGTCATCCCTTGGTATTCCATTTTGTAGGATTGAATTCTTAATTTGGTTCCTTTTTTTCTGGTAGTTTACTTTCCAAACTCATTTTTATAGACTCATTTTCATATCCATTGTTACATATTATAGACTAATTATTTCCTCCTCTGAGGAAGCAAATTTATTGTTATCAAACAATGTTTCATTTATTTGAAAACAAGCATTATATTTTACATTACTTTTGCCTTCCTTGGGTTAAATATCCTCATTTCATCATTTTATTTCCCATTTTGTCAGAGTTGGTGATCTTTGCTCTTTGACACATTTGACTTGATAGACAACACTGTGCAGAGATTTATAAGTTTTACCAGTATATCTCACAGATACGAACAGCCTAAAACTGAACCATTATCCTCCTTCTTCTAGACATTGAGTGAAGAGTGAAAATTGCATACATTTTTGAGAGTTGAAGCACATTGATGGCTCCATGTAACACCCATTGTAAATTTTAATTGTTTTATCCATAGAAGTATAAACTTCATTTCTCAATGTTCCAATTTAACTTATATTCTGCCTCTTAATTTAGATTCTCAAGTTCCTTTAGAACCAAGACTCAAATAAATAACTATTTCTTCATTGTTCCTGATCCACCCAATCTATGAAGTAGGTCAGTTCTCTTTGTTTAACTTCAGTCTAATAAATCATAAATATATAGAATGGAATAGAAGTGTATTATAATTATCAATTCTCAGAAGCAAGAAGGAAATCCAAACTTAAATTATGAATGGGACTAAGATGTTGAGAAAAATAAAACAAAATTCTGAACCAAGTGAAGTAAAATGCTGGTATAGGACTTTTTAGAAACATCCATAAAGTGGAGAATATAAACATATTCAATGAGAATCAATCTAGGTGACTTGAGGTGAAAGCTTTATGCTGAGTGAAACGCCACATTCAAGAAGGGCAGTAGGGTGAACTTGAGAGTAAGTGTAAAAAGTTGAGAGCTCCAAATTTAGTCAAAAGATAAGAAAAATGTGAGAAATTTCTATCTTATAATATTTAAGCCTCACATAGCATCATAACAACTCTCAGCCCACCAGTGGTCCATCAGACACAATATTGATATGTTTAAAATTGTGTTCATTTATTTTCTTTTTAAATTATAGATTGAGAGGTACATATACAAGTTTGTTACATAGGGTATATATTGTGTAATGCTAGAGTTTGGGCTTCTAGTGAACCCAATGCCCAAATAGGGAACATTGTACCCAATAGGTTATTTTTCAACTCTCATTTCCCTCCCACTCTCCTCCCTTTTTGACTCCCAAGTACCTGTTACTCCACTCTGTATTTTCATGTGTATCCACTGTTTAGCTCCCACTTTATAAGTGGAAACATCTATAATTTTGTTCTGTGATTTAACTCTTAGCATCAGCTTATAAAGGCAAAAGTTTTGAGTTATTTTCTGGTTGATTCAGATTTGAAATGTTTAGTAGAATAAGATAGTTGGCATGAAAGCACTAATCATTTCAATTGTTAAGTAAAACTCCAGAAATTTCAGAAAAAATTGCTTAAAGTTAGATGAAAATCAAGTCAAAATGATTGGAAACATGTGAAAAACAGTTGAGAATCCGATAGTAGGTGGGCCACAATTGCTGTGGAGAAATGAAGGCATGGACCTGAAAGGGACTAGAGGACCAAAGGGCTGAGAATAGTCTTGGGGAAAAAATAGTTTCTGGATTTTCTGTTTCTGTCCTTTATATTGTGACTGTGAGAACGTAAGATTAGAGATATAACAAAATGATTATGAGTTCAAAGCTGAAAATCTGTCTCAGGTTTTACTCAAACATCAGCTTCCATTTTTGAGCCAGTAGGGGTGTTCAAAATTCTCTTGATAGCATTATGAATCAATAAAAATGATTTCATTATTACGACTTCTGGCCCAGATTATATCATTAGCCCAGATCCTATAATCCTGGAATTTTGCCAGATCCTTTCATATCAGGAGGCAACAAAACAGTAGAGACAACAGGTAGGGTAATATTAAGGAGATGCTGGACTGTTACTACATTGAGTAGCCAAGAGGGTGGTGGTGGCTGGACTGCACGCCTCTGAACCCTCTTTTACTCTAACCTTGGTATAGGGAATTATTTAGAGGCTAGCTGCACCTAAACACAAGAACGAGATATATGATGCAGAAATTTGGAGGTACCCTGGAGGTAGACTTTACATGAAATGAAGGGGCTCATTTGCAATCCTAAAGATACACCTCTCTTTAACTCATATGATTAACACACTTTAGAGTTAATTTAGTGTCTCTTCTTACAGCTATCAGAAGGGATAATGAGCCTAGGTATGGAGTATATCAAGCAAGTTGGAATAAATTCATATGGGAAAAAGTGTTGTAAGACATGTAAAGAGGAAATAAAAATGAAACTGATGAAATGAACACAACAGCACACCACTGAACATCAAATGGATGAAACCAATTGAACAAGAAAGCTGAACATTTTAAAATCTAAAAAGATGGTATAAAAATTGGAAACAAGAAGGAAGAACAGTAGTTTTGAAGAAAAATTAAGCCAAAGACAGGATAGACTGGATAGAAAAAAAATTGTTGGCATACTTTCAAGAAGTAGGACAAATAGAAAGAGCAAAGACCTCAGATCATGAAGGTTCTTGACCATAGTCACTTATATAAATAAGTATTATTTAGATATATAACAGAGAATTTTAGAAACAGCAAACAAAGATACAAAATAGTAAAAGCTTTCATATATAAAGCCAGGTATATCTAAGAAAAAGCTGTTTTCTTCCATATAAGTGAGTTATGGTAAATTAACATGTTTGTTAATCATAGATAGACAGAAATTCTAACAGAAAGGATGATGTCTCTGGATCAGAGAACAGGCCATGTATTACATAGATATGCAGTGGGGTAGCACCACATGGGAGGAGGCCCTGATGGTAAGATTTGGAAAGTATGTTTCTCATCATAGCGTCCTCCCTTTCAAGGAGAGAAGGTGTCAATTTAGCGACTTTATTTTCTCAAGTATTCCTACATATCATCACTTTTTTCCATCTCAGATAAGGTGTTAAAATTATTCAGCAACTAAAACAACTGCACAAATTAATATGTGAATAAATATAGATATCATATATGACTTTGTTTCTTCATTTTCCATGAAACAAAATACCAAGTCAAATATAATAGTATAAAATCATTCTAATAATTATTTTGTTGCATAGTTATACAGCACATTAACTGTCACATAACCTGAGAAGTCACTAATCTGGCCCTCAGTCTAAGGTAGCCCCATTTTATGTGTTTGCTGTATCACTTCTAAATTTTCATTCATAAACATCATTTGTTATGAAAAGCTTAACAAAATTGTACAGATCATTAAAGTATAGACAGTTTTGTGATTTTTAAATTTTAAAAAAGTGATTTTAAAAGTTAATGGCTAAAATCCTCAATATACTATAAGTCTCAGGTAGGAATAAAGTTTCCTTTTCCTACAATTCTGTCCTTATAAGATATTCATGTGCTAGGCAATTAATATATAGCTGTTGAAAAAAAATTAGTGAAATTAAAATTACTGAAAGCCTAGGAGACAGTGATCATTTCTAATAGAATATATTAGAGATCACTGTGACAAGCTTAGGGAATTTCACATGTTTGGGTGTACATGTTTTTAAAAAAGAAAACTTTCAAAAACCCCAGAGGGCAAAAAGTGATTATAGTAATAATGTGGGCAGTGGCACTAAATGGAGGTTTCACATCCAGTGATGATAAACTATGAAATACAAATCACAGGTGATTTTAATGAGAGTTTTGAAAAAAAATTGTTAAAATCAATGATAAAAAAACTCTAAACGTTTTAAATATAAAACTGAAGTCTTTCATGATACCATATCAAAATGTATACATCAAATGTAATAAGAACTGAAATATAAAAATTAGAATTGTAAATCTAATAGATTATCACAGAGACCCTGTAATGGCACATTGTTGAGGTGAGGTCCTCAAATGTATCTAAGTTTTAGTGGGACTAAATTATGCCTAACATTGCTCTGTATCCTCTGTAATGAAGCTTAAAAGCTTTGTAGAAGAAAAACCCATCATTCAGGCAACTTAACTGTGTATTATGAAACGTCCAATATTATTTAAGGGAACACAAAGAAATTTAGCATCTGACAATATCACATTGACACCTCCTAGCATTTCCTATAACATTTTCAGGCTCAAAAAATAAAAGGATGACATAAACTATAATCAGGAAAATAAAACAACAATAACTAGAAACAAAAAAAGTGACAGTAATAATGGAACTAGAAGAAAAAGATATAAAAACAGATATCATAAATATCTGTTTGATATGCTCAGAAAGTATGTTTAAAAATGATCATCAGCCAGGTGCGGTGGCTTACACCTGTAATCCTAGCACTTTGTGAAGCCAAGGCAGATGGATTACTTGAGCTCAGGAGTTGGAGACCAGCCTGCACAACATGGCCAAAACCCATCTCTACCACAAGTACAAAAATTAGCTAGGCATGGCGCCTCACACCTGTAGTCCCAGCTGCTTGGGAGGCTGAGGTGGCAGGATCACTTGAGTCTGGGAGACAGAGGTTGCACTGAGCAAAGATCTTGCCACTGCACTCCAACCTGGGCAACAGAGGAATACCCTGTCTCAAAACAAACACAGAAACAAAACATAACTTATGGAAAAGATGGCAAGTCAAAATTTTGGAGATGAAAAATAAAGTCTCTGGAATTAAAAAACAAACAAACAATAGATGAAAAGAATAACCAGAGAGTTTATAGAAGAAAAACAGTTAAAACTTGAAAATAAAACATATATGTAAGACTGAAAACAAAATGAAGAAGAACATCAATGACTTGTGAGACAGTATCAGCCAAAATTGACAAATGGGATCTAATTAAACTAAAGAGCTTCTGCACAGCAAAAGAAACTATCATCAGTGCGAACAGGCAACCTACAGAATGGGAGAAAATTTTGGCAATCTATCCGTCTGACAAAGGGCTAATATCCAGAATATACAAGGAACTTAAACAAATTTATAAGAAAAAAAAAACCCTATCAAAAAGTGGGCGAAGGATATGAACAGACACTTCTCAAAAGAAAACATTTATGCAGCCAACAAACATATGAAAAAAAGCTCATCGTCACTGGTCATTAGAGAAATATGAATTGAAACCACAATGAGATACCATCTCACACCAGTTAGAATGGCGATCATTAAAAAGTCAGGAAACAACAGATGCTGGAGAGGATGTGGAGAAATAGGAACGCTTTTACACTGTTGGTCGGAGTGTAAATTAGTTCAACCATTGTGGAAGACAGCGTGGCGATTCTTCAAGGATCTAGAACCAGAAATACCATTTGACCCAGCAATCCCATTACTGGGTATATATCCAGAGGATTATAAATCATTCTACTGTAAAGACTCATGCACACATATGTTTATTGGAGCACTATCTACAATAGCAAAGACTTGGAACCAATCCAAATGCCCATCAATGATAGACTGGATAAAGAAAATATGGCAAATATACACCATGGAATACTATGCAGCCATAAAAAATGAGTTCATGTCCTTTGCAGGGACATGGATGAATCTGGAAACCATCATTCTCAGCAAACTAACACAGGAACAGAAAACCAAATACCTTATGTTCTCACTCATAAGTGAGAGTTGAACAATGAGAACACATGGACACAGGGAGGGGAACATCACACATCGGGGCCTGTCTGGGGGTGGGGGGCTGGGGAGGGAGAGCATTAGGAGGAATACCTAATGTAGACGATGGGTTGATGGGTGCAGCAAACCACCATGGCACGTGTATACCTATGTAACAAACCTGCACGTTCTGCACATGTATCTCAGAACTTAAAGTATAATAAAAAAAAAAAAAGATCCCTGGCTTCTGCTAAATATACACCTTACTGAGATCAAGAACAGAAAATATTGACATAGATGTTAGTCTGTCCCTATGGGCACTAGCTCCTGCTTGTGGGTTTCAGCTTCTTGTTTTCCCCTAACTTACTTGAATTTATCTCTCTTTCCTTGATGCCTTATAGACTTCAAGCTTCAGGCTCTAACATCAGACACAAAGACAGTAACACTACACCAGAGACTAATTCCTTTCCACAGCTTCATGAAGTCCAAAGCTTTTAAAATTTATAAATATGTGTGTGTAAGGGCTATGTGTAATTACATACATGCTAATATCTAACTACATTGTACATCAGGAATAACGTGTGGTAATTGATTCCTTGATATTTTGTTGGTGTTTTGCTGTATACATGTGATAAAATAAATAATAAGTGCTTTGTTTATAGAAATTATATAAACAAACATTGATTTATTTTTCTTATAAACGAAAAATAGTTATATATCTCATAAAAGGAAAATAGAGGGTATGTAGAAAACATAACCATAAAAGTAAACAGCATTATTTAGTTACTGTTAAACATTGAGATATTTTTGTTTGGAAAATATTTTAAAAGCGATTTATTTTTAAGTAAAAATGGATTTATTTCAGCATTTAAAGAAAAATCTTTTAGAATCCACTTGTCCATTTGGACACCTATAGGTAACTATTATTCTGATCAATCCAATAATTATTACATAATAATTATAAATGTTTTAAATATTCAGAAATATTCTATCAATCTGTTTTAATATAGATATTAAGATTTAGTTTTGATACTATGTACATACATGTATGAGTACGAATATACCAAGTAAATATTAATTTTAAAAAAGTCATTGGGGTTATATATATATAAATATATGGATATTAAAATGATACTACATATCAATAATTAAAATAACATGTGTTCATAAAGTTATTTTAAAAATTTAATGTTGGAGAGGGAAGGGATTGTCAAGTGTCTAGCTCATGCTATGAACTCCAACAGAAACCAAGTGAATTACATTTCAATTCACCTTGAATGCCCATTCCTGTGATCTAATCTAAAATTGCAAAATATTTTATAACCTTTTGTAGGTGTTCTGTTCCAAATAGACAAGTAGGTAAGCATGTTTTATATTCACGTTGTATTAGGAAAATATATAGGCTTAAACTTTTCACCTTAGGTAAATTTCTTGAAAAATGAAGGCAAAACATTATTTAAATGAGAGAAATTTAAGTAGTTTTAAAAAACTAAGTGTAATGTAAAGCAAAATTATCATAGCGTACTGAATGCTTTCCTGGAGGCAATTCCAACATTTTATTACAGCCTTCATTAAACAGTATTGAGCATTTTAATAGAGCAGAAGGGAAAAGACTGCCTGGTTCGGAATTGCCAATTGCCATTCAACAACCTTTGTCTTCTCTTTGTTTTCGGCAATGTTGCCCTCATAGAACGTTAAAATATCACAATATTTCTTGTCGACTGGTAAGATGACAGCTCTGAGGCTAGTTGTACAGTCACTAAGAAACTAATTAGGATTATTACAGAGAAGTGTATATGATAATTAACAATTAAATTTAACTTTCTGAATAGAAGCTGGTTTTCCCTGGAGGGGACTCTGCATAGATTATGCTGAAGGAAAAACTTAATAAATTTTTTTGCATACATCAGTTACATAATTATGATTCTTTGCTATAGTCATTACTATTTAAATACTCCATGTACAACTGTAACTTTGAATATATCTTTTGATGTAACTATGCACGGAATAACAATGTTTGCAATTTATTAACATTCTATTGTGACTGATATTAGAATCTTCAACTAGATGCTGTTGCAGTATTTGGCCACATATTTTTAAATAAACAATTCAACAGACAATGAAAGAAATATAAATATCCAAAGTATTTATTCATAACCACATCCCAGAGATTTTTGAAACATTTGGGAGCAGATGTTCTGAAAAACATAACCTCTATTATGTTTAAAGTTAATGATATAAACCTCATCATTTTCAAAAAACATTCTAAGCCTTACTTAACCAATTTTCTTGGGAATTTAGCATTTCACATGTTATTTTTCTTTTCCATTTTTGTGTATAGACATATATGGTACTTTTAAGGAAACTATATTATTTTGGTCTCTAATTGGCAACAAAATCTAGGCGGAGTTAACAATAGTGTGGGGTGGAAATAGTATTTTGCAGCTAACAATTGTACTTGTTCAAAATTAGTAATTTTAACAATTAAAATAGTTTTATATTTTTTCCTTAAAAAATGTAACTCAGAGTCAGTGTCTCATGCCTGTAATCCCAGCGCTTTGGGAGGCCGAGGCGGGTGGATCACAAGGTCAGGATATCGAGACCATCCTGGCTAACACGGTGAAACCCCGTCTCTACTAAAAAATACAAAACATTAGCCAGGCATGGTGGCGGGCGCCGGTAGTCCCAGCTACTTGGGAGGCTGAGGCAGGAGAACCGCGTGAACCCGGGAGATGGAGCTTGCAGTGAGCAGAGATCGCACCACTGCACTCCAGCCTGGGCGACAGAGCGAGACTCTGTCTCGAAAAAAAAAAAAAATGTAACTCAGAGTACAGAACATATAAGGTGCTGAATATTAGACATACATTTTGTCAATTTGCTTATAGTATTTGAAAATATTAAATATAAGGAGATTCGTTTGTTCCTAGTCAAATATAAAATTTAAATTTGTATTTTAGAGTGAAATAAAAATACTGGCAATCAATCTAAGTTACATGTCATGTACATAAATAAACATTGCTATGCAGATTAGCTATTACAAAAAACAATGCAGCAATTTGATTATTAATCACATCCCATTTTAGGGGTTGTCATAAATCATATTTCAGGTATTCAACTTTCTAAGACCACAGCTACTGCTAAATCCAAAGCAGGATCTGGCCACTGTGACCTAAACCAACTTCAGTCTATTCTTGGTTTATTTAAATGGAAATGTTTTAACTTAAAATTTAACAATATGGGAATAATATGGGAATTTAACAATATGGGAATATTAACTTAAAATTATTAAAAAGATTGCATTCATGCTTATACAACTGTTATCTATATGTATTATACAACAATAGGTTTTTTTGTTTTGTTTTGTTTTGTTTTTTAGACAGAGTCTTGCTCTGTCACCAAGCAGCAGTGCAGTGGCGCGATCTCAGCTCACTGCAACCTCCACCTCCCAGGTTCAAGCGATTCTCCTGCCTCAGCCTCCTGAGTAGCTGAGACTACAGGCACACGCGACCACGTCCAGCTGATTTTTTTTTGTATTTTTAGTAGAGACCGGGTTTCACCATGTTCGCCAGGATGGTCTCAATCTCTTGACTTCGTGATCTGCCTGCCTCAGCCTCCCGAAGTGCAGAGATTACAGGCATGAGCCACTGTGCCCGGCCAACAGCAATAGTTTTTTAATACACATTTGTATATTTTCTCTTTAAATTGAAGGACTTTTTTAAAAATCCAATTTTGATTATAATACATGCAAAGCATTGTGGCTTATGTCATGTCAAATAACTTTTTATTTGGTTTTATATGGAAAATTTTGAAAAACAACACTGGAGTGATGAATAATTAGGTTAAAATCCCATTTTTGTCTTCTTCCTAATCTGACTGACATCACAACAATGGAAAATACTGAAACACTAAGTTACGCTAAGGAGTCTTGCAGTCTCAATTTCTCTCTCTTTTACATCCCTGATGTTACAAGATAATGGATGTGTTGGTTCAGGGTAAATGTGTTTTTTATTGCTATTGCAGGATAGTAAGCTTTTTTGTTTCAATGATTTTCTGTCATTATATTAGAGTGATAGAGTCTGTGACACATAAAATGGTGTAGATAAAAGGTTTTCTTGATACATTCAGTACCTTAGCAAACCCAATGTTCAGTTTCTTCACACGAGAAGAATGAGGTTTAGTGGTACCTATAGAAAACTGGTCTTCAAATTTGATTTCATTCCATGAACAACGATAGCATAGACATACTTTCTCCCGACCACAAAGGACTGTTTCAATTTTCAGAAAAAATTTACATCTTCCAAAATAATCAAGTGGTTCATTTTTTATTAATATCAAGTAGAAATATTCTAGAAAAATAAGATCAAATTTTATTTAATCTAAGTATAATTTCATAACTTTCATAATAAAGTTTCCTACTAAAAATCATAAGCTGCTTTTTTCATGTTTATTTTAAAAAGCATAAAATAGTTTGTTTTCCAAATTATTATATCAATTTATTTTTCCCCAACAAACAGTACTCAGCTTTACAAATATGAATGTTAATAATATCTCTTTTCTGTTGAACCAGAAATTTAGAACTTTTAGATAGAAGATGGATAGACACTGAAAACTATTAAAATAGTTACATATTATTAGAGATGTGAAATGGTGTACCATACATTTTCATTCACACCCCATTTATAGATATTATGTTGATAGACATTGTGTTTCCAGATGTGAGTTAAAAAGTATATTGCAATAAATAATACATATACTTGAACATATATTCTAACATAGAGGTGTTTCAAAATCTGGAAGTTTTCTAAAATTGATATTTCTGGATATAAGCTATACACATATTAAAATTGTAATAGATTAATTCAAATTTTATTTTAAAATGTTTTAATAATTTTCACTTCAAAATTTTCACTTGTTGTGTTTATTACCCACATCTTTATCGCCATAATATATCAAAAATGTAATCAGTTGAGTTAACATTTAATATATTATAGTAATTTTGTTTAAAATACATCTAAAGTTTACAATCAGCATTTAAAAACCTGCCAAATCAAGCAAATTCATATAAATCAAAGTAATTTAACTTAATATTACTAAATTCCCTTTTATGATTTTCATGAAAAGTTTCATTAGAACTTCAACTAGTGAACCATTGCAGATATTAAATAATATCTTTCCACTCTGACATATGTATTCCCTTTAATATACTTAAACATATTGAATATCCATATATTTTAATGATCCGTGATACTAAGCAGAAATCCACACTTCTAAGGTGATTAGCTAGCATTTTGATGAAAAACTCTGTATTTCAGAAGTGTTTTCTAAATGTGTTTCTGTAATGTTAACCTTTGCTGAGTGCCAGAGACTCTGGCAATTAACATAACAAATAAAAGAGAAGTTGACATTTATAAAATTAGTTGCTTGATAATAAGAGACATTAGAAATGGGATGTTAATTGTGAAATTGATGTTATCTGTGAACATGGGCCTATACTGAGGAAACTTGAAATATCAAAGAGTATATATCTTAGGATGTCACTTATCTGATGCCTACCAAGTAAATACAACTTTGATTTATTCGTGTCATTTTAGATGATTAAGTATTTATTGTTCTATTTACTCCACTTTTTAAAAATGTTGTCTTAACAAAATAAATAATATTTTCAAATAGTTGTTACCATTAAAATGGTCTGTCTGCTGAGTGTGGTGGCTCATGCCTGTAATCCCACTACGTTTTGAGGCCAAGGCTGACGGATCACGAGGTCAAGAGATCAAGACCATCCTGGCCAACATGGTGAAATCCCGTCTCTACTAAAAATACAAAATTAGCTAGGTGTGGTGGCATACACCTGTAGTCCCAGCTACTTGGGAGGCTGAGGCAGGAGAATTGCTTGAACCCGGGAGGCAGAGGTTGCAGTGAGCCGAGATTGCACCACTGCACTCCAGCCTGGCAACAGAGCGAGATTCCGTCTCAAAAGTAAATAAATAAATAAATAAAATAAAAGGTCTGTCAATTTCTAGTTCTGAGTCAAGTCGGGAAAAATCAAAACATGCAGTCTAGTTATTTCAGACATAAGAGATTCGATACAATGATTTTTTACTCGCACAAGCTGGAAAAGCAAAGAGAGGCAGGTAAAGTAACTGGGAGACATGATATACAACCAGAACAAACAGAATAAGGGCATGGTGGCTCGTGCCTATAACTTCACCACTTTGGTAGGTGAGAGGATTTTTTGCAGCCAAGGGTTCCAGTACAAACTCTAGCCTGGAAAACTGACTGGAAAAAAAAAAAAAAAGTAGCGCTAGTTCTGAAAAGTGAAGGGGGGAATTTGTATATAAAAGGGTTCAGGTCTTTGTGTCCATGTGTACTCAGTGTTTGGCTCTCACTTATAATAAGAACGTGTGGTATTTTGTTTTCTGTTCCTGCGTTAGTTCATTTAGGAAAAGAGTGGGAAGAGGGTGAGGATCAGAAAACTACCTATTGGGCACTACGCTCATTACCTGAATGACGAAATAATTTGTACACCAAACCCGTATGACAAACAATTTACCCATGAAACAAACCTGCACATGTGCCCCCTGAACCTAAAATAAAAGTCAGAAAGAAAAAAACAAAGTAGAACAGCGGTTACCAGAGCCTGGGAGAAGGACGAACGTGGACTTATTGTTTAATGGGTACAGAGTTTCAATTTGGAATGATGAAAAGTTCCGGAAACATATGGTGGTGATAGTTGCACAACGATGTGAATGTACTTAATGCTGCTGAACTGTACTCTTAAAACAATTAAAATAATAAATTTTATGGTGTTATATCTTACCATAATAAACATTTTAAAGAGTGAAAAGAAAGAAAAAAGTGTGCAGGAAAAATTTTGCAAATACACACGGCAATCTGATACTACTATAATAAGGCTGCACAGACATGGCTGGGATCTCAGGGAGGAGACCCGTCATGGTGGTTGATGGAAACACTGTGAAAGTCATTGCTGAAAGTCACTGTTGAACATGCAGAGGAGCTGCCTTGGTGCTGCACAGCAGGGGCCAGGGCAAAATTTTCTGGTACTGAGACCAAGAAAGAGGTTTCACATTGCAGGCCCTGAAGCTGATGATGATGCTGCAGCCCAGATCTGTCCTCTGCTGATGGATGGGTAAAAAAGACAGAAGAAAGACAGAACTGGGAATTGTTTAACTTTTCCCCTTTCTTGTCTAATCTTCTAGCATTCCCACTATCAGAACATTACCTGGATCCCGTTAGCGATGAAAGCTGGGTATTATTTTCAGGGTACCAGCCTCTCTCAGTACATAGAGCACATGATTTACTATGTCCTCTATAATATACAGAGATTATAAAGTGTGTTGACAATTTAGAATTTTCGAATGCATTCATTTTGAAAAAGAACACATTTAGGCTTTTTAACTTAATGATCTACTGTGCTGGAACTCAAGTCTGTTTATTGATAACAAGTTAGTGTGAATTTTAAATATTTTGAAAAATGTATTGCATGTTTATTTACAGAAAGCTCATTTATGTACAATTGTTGCATGAAATAGAAGGAGCAGTAGTATGCATTTAATATATCGCACATCATTTTCACCTTAGGCCCTCACTCTGACTTTTGCATCAATTGCATTAATCAAGTTGCCACCATCAAGTAATTAGGTTGATATTAAATTCTAATGGTTGATGTGTTCATAATATGGACTTCTCAATTCTACCTCTATAAACTAAATGAGCTTGTGGTAATTAATATTAGAATTTTAAAATATTAAATTTTACACATAGTATTGACTACTTATATTTTGTATCCTACTTTTTAGGCTTTTTGAAATAGAGTCTACTGGTTTATTTTCTGTAAATTTCAGCCATGTGTTGACTGAAATAATATGACATTCAGTATGCTGTGCTTGTGACCTCTTCATTCTGATTGCTAGTCATATATTGATAATTTTATATTTAATAGCTCTGAGATGTAATTCATATATAATTAACCCACTTCAAGTATAAAATTAAATTTTTTTAGTTCATTCATGGAATTGTACAAACATTGCCAAAATTGATTTTAGAAAACTATCATCAATCCCCCGCTCAGAAAATCTCATATACGCAATAACAGTTACTTCTTATTTCTTCTTATCTCTCCCATTCCTGATCCTAGGCAAATTTGTTTCTACATTTTCTATAATTGAAATCAAATTGAAATAATTAAACAATTTGAGTCTTCCTGTTTCTTTTTTCCCCTTGGTCTCTTTACCTTAAAGTTTATTGGCATTTTCTTTTCCTGACTTTTTATAGAATCAACTTTTGGTTTCAAAAATTTTCCATTAATGTTTCTTTATTTCTGCCCTAATCTTTATTATTTTCTTTCCTTGCTTCCATTTATTTTCTTGTTTCTAGTTTCTTATGATGGAAAGATATGGTATTAATTTGAGAACTTCATTCTTTTTAATAGGGGCATTTACAGCTATAAATTTGCTTCTAGGCACTAATTTAGTTGTATTCTGTGAGTTTTGGTTTGTTGTGCCTTTATTTTCATTTATTTCAAAGTATTTCTAGATTCCTCTGTGATTTTGTGACTCATTAGCTATTTAGGAGTGTTTTATTTTAATTTCCACTTATTTGTAAATTTCTCAAGTTTCATTCTGTTATTGAATTATAATATTCCATTGTGATTGAAGAAAATACTTTTTAGGATTTAAATCTTTTCAGATACACTGAAGCTTACTTCATGATTTGGCGTCTTGTGTATTCTGAAGATGTTTCATGTATAGCAGATACTTTATATTCTATCATTACTGGGTGAAATTTTCTAAAAATATCTGTTAAGACTTGTATTTTAGTGTTAATCACATTTTCTCCAGTTCATCTTCACCAATCTATTCTACCCATTATTGTTATGAGGTATTAACGTTTCCTACTATTCCTTTTGAATTACATATTTCTTCTTTCACGTCTTTCACTTTTGTTTCCTACATTTTGGGCTATTTTCTTATGTGCGTATATGCACATAATTACATTTTTGTATGGATTTACCATTTTTATTATTTTCATATGTTTCTTTGTCTCTGATTCTTTTGTCTGTTTTAAATCAATTTTGTCTAATATTAGTATAGCTGTTTCAGCCTTATTTTTATTGCTATTTGTATAATACACTTTTCCATTCTTTTATTTTTGACCTTTTATTTTTAAAGAGCGTCTTCAATATAGAGCATTTGATATTTGTTTTGTTTGTTTCTGTTTGTTCTTGTTTAATTATTAATGAAAATCCTGTTTATTCATTCATCAGATTTTTTTTTTCTTTTTGAGATGGAGTCTCACTCTGTCGCCCAGGCTGGAGTGCAGTGGTGCCATCTGGGCTCACTGCAAGCTCCGCCTCCTGGGTTCACGCCATTCTCCTGCCTCAGCCTCATGAGTAGCTGGGATTACAGGTGCCTGCCACTACGCCCGGCTACTTTTTTATATTTTTAGTAGAGATGGGGTTTCACCATGTTAGCCAGGATGGTTTCGAGCTCCTGACCTCGTGATCCACCCATCTTGGCCTCCCAAAGTTCTGGGATTACAGGTGTGAGCCACCACGCCCAGCCATTCATTCATGAGATTTTTAACCAATAATATTTAATGTTACTATTGATATAGTTGGATTTATATCTTCCAATTTATATGCCTCATGTATTTTCTTCCTGTATCCCCCTTTTGCTGCTTTCTTTTGCATTCATTAATATTTTTAATTTAACATTCCAAATCTGTTAATGTTTTCTATTTTTTTTTTTTGAGTTAGTTCGTTAAAACATTTTTTTGTGTGTGTCCAAATTGCTGTTTGGAGTCACTTCCTTTCAGTTAGAAAATCTTTCTTTCATACTTCTTATAAGAAAAGTTTGCTAATAACACATGTTTTTCAATTGTTTACCTGTGAATGTCTTTATTTTCTCATCTTGATTTGTAAAACTTATTTTGCTGAACTTAAGATTCTTGTTTGACAATTATTTATTTATTTATTTCCTTTTAGCCCTTTGAATATGTCATCCCACTGCCTGCAGGCCTCCATTGTTTTGATGAGAGGTCTGCCATTAATCTTATCTGCATTTCGTTTTAAGTGATGTTATTTTTCTCTTGCTGCCTTCAAGACTTTCTTAGCTTTTCATCATTTTTAATATAATTTGAATTTGTGTGAATCTTTTTGCATTTATTGATTTGTAGCTTATTGGAGAATTACATTAATGCTGTTCCTCACATTTGGAAAGATTTTAGTGATTCATCAAATATATTTTGTACACCTTTTCTTCCTCTCTGCTATTTACATCATTCATATGTTGTGATTAATAATGATCTGCATTTTGCTGAGGCTCTGTTCATTTTCATCAATCTTTGTCTCTGTTATTCAGATTACATAGTCTCTAACAATCATCAAGTTAATTAAACCTCACTTCTGCACATTCAAGTCTACTTTTGACCCGCCTATAATATACTAATTTTGTCACCCACAATGATAGAATACAAAATGTACCCTATAATAGTGTAATTTTCATGTGTTATGCTGCTATTTAGATTGTGAATTTCAATTTTCCAAAAATAACTTCTGTTTATGGATATTTAGTATTTGAGGACAAATTGTCATCATACATTATTTCTTTATGCACAATTTTCTGTGTTTTTTTGAGCTTATCTATAATAGTTTCTCTCAAATCTTTCTGAAGTTCCACATAGCTGACCTTTCACAGGCAGTTCCTTGCCTGCTATTTTTGTATATATGGTCACTTTCTTCTTTCTTTGCATGTCTCATAGTTTTTTTTGTTGGAATCAGGACGAGTTTGGCAATGTATTATATCAGCTCTGGATAATAATCTCACCTCTCTCTAGGACTTATTGTTGTTGTTTGCTTTTTTTATTTGTAACTTCTGGTCATCTTGGCTTATCTCTTTTAGCATTGAACCTATACCATAAAAATGAGCTGAGGCAGCAGAAATTGGGGGTCTAATTTTGGCTTGCCACACCTGAGGTATAGCCTCAGCCCTCGGAATAGGAGCTAGATAAAGGGATGGGGGGAGCCCAGCCTCTTTATGGCAATCACCTGGAGTTAGCTTTCAAGACATGGAACTGAGGGTTTTGAGAAATGCTAGTGGTTTGCCGCCTTTCCATTCATATACTATAACCATTGACCAGGAGCTGAGACAAAGAGAATAAGCCCTGTTTTCTTAGCCACACTCAATCCAAGCAGAGTTTCAGTCCTCTGATCTAGAAGGGATAGGCTGGAGCCCGAGTGACATAGACTTTCACTGTTCTTAATAAGATTTATTGCTTCTTCATTTGCTGCATGCTCTTAGGACAATTTGCAGAGTCTTTAAAAGCTAAATTGTTTATACAAATGTATTTTTACTAGCTTTTGCCATTCATAGTTGATTTTCTTGGGAGAGGTTCTGTGTAGTTTCTCATGCTCCTATTCTGAAAGTAATCCCCCAAAAGCATGTTTTTTCTTCTCTTTGTTAAAATCATTTGGAAATATTTATGAAATAAATTTAGTTAAAACTAAAAAATCAAACTATTAAGAATTATGTACTATTAAGTGATGACTTTCAATCATTTTTTTAAAAGCATTTAATGATATTTTATTTTACATTGTGTTTCATTTTACAGGTTGAGTCTCCTTTTTCCAAATGGTTTTCAAGTGTTTTAGATTTCAATTTTTTTTTGATTTTACAATATTTGTATTATACATGCTGGTTGAGCATCCTTTATTCCAAAATCTGAACTCTGAAATGTTTCAATGAGCATTTTATTTGAACATCATGTTGGTATTTGAAAAGTTTTGAATTTTGGAACATTTTGGGTTTCAGATTTTTGGATTCAGGATTCTTAAACTGCATAATATAAAACACAAAACAAATGTTCTAGTTCAGTTAAAATTACCACACAGGCAGAAAGTGTTGAAATATGTACTCAATATAGGACAGAGAGTTAAAAATAGTCATTTTTACCATGAATTAACTATACATTATTAAAGATTTGCTCTGATACTTTCATCTCCCCCCCCACTTTTTTTTTTTCCTGAGACGGCATCTCACTCACTCTGTTGCCCAGGTTCCCAGGATGAGGTGCAGTAGCACAACCTCTCCTCACTGCAACTTCCGCCTCCCAGGTTCAAGTGATTCTCCTGCCTCCTGCCCAAGGAGCTGGGATTCAGGCATGCACCACCATGCACGGCTAATTTTTTTTGTGTGTGTATTTTTAGTAGAGATGGGCTTTCACCACTTTGGCCAGTCTGGTCTCAAACTCCTGACCAGAGGTGATGCACCCACCTCGGCTTCACAAAGTGCTGGGATTACAGACATGAGCCACTGGGCTCAGCCATATTTTTATCTTTATACAGTCAATGAACACTTCCATTCATCAGTTACTGCAGGCAAACTAAATTCATAGTCATTTTATTGAGTATAATTGCTTTGAACTAAAATCTCTAGCTATTGCAATGCAATTTCATGCTAATGTAGAATAGACACAGGTTAGCAGGGGGAAAAAGGCTTTTGCTGTAAATCATTTTGAATGTGACACGTAATTTTCAGGTAAACATTTCTGAGAGGCATGTAAAGAATATAATTGGAATAATGTAAAAATGGCTAAAACTCTCTTTGGATTTCATTTTGAAAAGAAAAAAATATTGTTTTGGTATCCTGTTTAGCAGGTGATTTATTCTTTTGCTGGGTTAGAGCTCCCCTATGTGGCTATTTGGTTGAGACACACCAAGAGCTCAATATTGATGTATTTCAACAACTAAACATAAACTATCCTCCTAGATATATCTCAACAAAAATATATTGAGATACTCATCTATAAATAATTTTAAGTTTTGTAGAAATTCTAACTTTTCTCTCTGAATAGAACTGCCAGGAGAATTTTAATAGGATTAAAATTCAGTGAGAACATAAAGTTAAATGCTATATGGTATCAATAAAATAAGCAAATTTATAACTAAGTCAGCATGCACCAGTTTCTCATACTTGATTGACGACTAAGTTTGAAATAGTTTATTCCCAAAAAATTAGGAGGAAAGTTTATTTTCCATTCATTTAATTGGTCTATTTTAATCAAATTAATATGTGTACATTTGAGGAGGGAAAACCATGTAAAAAAGTAGTTATCTCCCTCAGCACACTGAAAATTTTGCAGAGAATGTAATTTATGTAAACAGATGTCAAATAATTCTACTAAGTACAATATCAACTGTAATAATCTATTAAGTTTTCATGAGAATGAAAGAATTTGAGCTCATTTTATAACATGCTTGGGATATTTTCATCCAAGTATACATTTCAGTTTGCATAAATTGCAAAAGTAAAAATAAAACTAAGGAAAATTTTAGGATATGTCTAGGGAATCAAAACCTACCAAGTATTATCAGACACTGGATCTGGAAAGAGAACCACTTGTGCCTTGCGAATCATATTCATATTTCATATTAACTTTTCAAAATATCTAAAATTCAAATAAAGCATATGAAGTTAAAATGGAAATTTACCATATAGTCTTTTATTTTACATTTGTGAAGACAGTAAAAAATTCTTTTTCAATGATTTAAATTTTTAAACATGTGAGCTATTTCTGTGCTTTGCTAATAATGCAAAAGGCAGTTTATATGAAAGGTTTATGAGCAGCTTGCAAATAATCTGAACATAAAAACTCACAAGTAATTATTAACACTATACCTCACTAAAATATAAAAGCAAAAGAGACACCACTGAAATTAAAAAGAGGATAGCAGTCATTAAGTGTAATCGTTGCTACCAGCCACCATAGTTCTGAGTCATAATAACCTCACAGTAAATATATAGTTGTGTGATTGAATGAATGACTAAGCTATTTGCAAAATGTAAAATTTTCTTTATGCCAAATGTCTCTAACATAGATACCTAAACAGATTATGCCTTTACATAATTGCCATATCATCCCAATACAGGTAAAATCAATAATGATGTTGTCATCAATGGATATTTCAGGATGAATGAATTCACATTCTCTAGGGGAATGCTAAATATTACTAGGGGATAGGGAAGGTGAATTTAAAATACCCCAACCAAATCATCCAAAAATAGACCTAGAGGGAATGAGTCCATTGAGGAAATGGTTTCCTGTACACAGCATAAAGATATTCAAGCAGTATGCTGATTATGTACTTTCAAATCAGTGCAGAATTTTAATTTTATTTGGCCATTATTTTTAAAAAGTTATCTGGAAAAGTATTCAATATATCTGAGCACTCTAGGTCAATATATGTGTCACAGGACCGCTGGTTTCTTAACAAGTTTTGATTTATAAAACATTTTGTTGTATTATGTGTCCCTAAAGCCTGCACAATACCATAAGGGTTAGCACCAAAGACATTCAAACCATTCATTGGCCATGGTTTATCTGATAGTTGAACGGAAAAATAAATGGGCATGGAATATTTTTTAAAGAATCCCCAAATGATCTGTCAGAGGAATACAACGTATTTTATATTAATGGAGATGCATAATATTAAAGCAATAGGTAATAAATATATGTTGGGCAGGTGGAGATATTTTAAAAAATAGCAAATAAAAGTTTGTAAAATGTTGTAGTCACAGAAACTGTAGTGTTTATTCTTGGGGTCTTTGCTATTAACTCTCAGCCCTTAAGGCAATAGGGCATAATGCCATATGAAAGAACGTGGAAACCTTCTTACATGAAATAATTGTGAGTAGCTTACAAACAAGCCGAATACAGAAAGTGCAAGAAAATGTTGATACTATACATGACTGAGATCAAAATGAGAGCAGCAGAGTCACTGAAATTAAACAAGCGAGTAGCAGACACCAGTAAAGCTGAAGTTTACATAAGATGTACCCGCTACCACAGAATCAATTCATGATAATCTCTCAATAATTACATAGTTGTATGACTGGAGAATAGCTGAGTCAGTGCCTTATACCTGTAATCCCAAAGTTTTAGGAGGCCAAGATGGGAGAATCACTTGAGCCCAGGAGTTTGAGACTAGCCTGGGCAACATAGTAAGACCCTGTCTCTACAGAAAAAAATAACAAATGAGCAGGGCATGGTGGTGTACACACCTGTGGTTCTTGCTACTCAGGAGACTGAGGCAGGAGGATTGCTTGAGCCCGGAAGTTCGAAACTGCAGTGAGCTATGTTCGTGTCACTACACTCCAGCCTGGGTGACAGAGTGAGACTCCATCTCTAAAACAACGACAACAACAACAACCAACAGCATTAATAAAATAGAACAAACACTGGTTAAGTATCTTCTATGTGTCAGACAATGTAAAAAGCACTTCTTTACATATAAACATTCTAATTCTGAAAAAGCACTGAGAAAGAATTATGTAGTGATACATAGAGGTTATATAGTTTAGCCAGATTAACTTTGTTTGCTTGTTTTGTAGAGAAGTACTGAAATCTAATATCAGAAAATATTTCACATAATACTGTAAGAAATAATATTGTGATATATCCTTCTCAATAGGTATCAGTAGGGAATAAACAGAAATGCATCACATATTGATAAAAAATGACCAAGTCAATTAAACAGAAATATATAATACCTAATATATGTGAATATATATTTTGATAAAAGAGATAAAAAGGTAGGTGTTTTCAAGCCAATCTTTAACTAGGGACATGTATCTAACAAATTTATTTTACAATTTTAATGCGAGGAAATACAAGAAGGAAATATAGAAAAGCAAAAGATTTAGGATTTATTAATGTAAGATACTATCAATGTAATGGTAACAATTCTGCCTTTGCCCACTATTTCTTCTTGGTCAGAGGAGTAGGAAAGGAAGGGTAAAGAAGGCTATATACAACTAACTCTAATTTAGAGATTTCATTCCTAAAAAAAATTCTTTTCTCTTTTAGGTGAAGCCTTCTGCTATCTTAATAAACAAAAAATGTGTGAAGTTAAAGGTACATTATTTGAGTTTTAAATAATTGAATATCTTGTACTTAATTAAATCACTGCCTTGAAAAATGAAAATTATACCAAATTATTTGTATTTTTCAAACTTTGAGAGAGTTTAGGTACCAAAAATTGCATCAAAGGAAACATGCATTTCAACAGGAAGTGAATTACACTTATCACCATGGAGCTCGTCTGATTTTTCTGCCACATTTCTTCCAGCATTGCTATTTCATCAAACTCCACAGCCATTAACTTTGCCATAATCAGTTTCTCTCTGGATTCTACAAAACCTGGCAACTGGAAGCAAGGTGGGAAAATGCTAACCTCTATTATTGACTACAATTGACTCATTCGTTGAAAGTAATTAGATTAAATTAAAAACACATGTTTATTTTTAAAATGTAAATAAGAAAAACACAAAAATATGTGTGTGCTCTTCAATATCACCTCATGTTTAACGGTGCTAAAATTTTATTCAAATTTCTATATCAAGTTATACTCATATAAATAACAGGTTATTTTATCTATAGATCAAATATATACATACAAATATAAATTACATATGTATAATTTTGTAGCTTTCTTTATTTCACATATAATGTTTGTACCATCCCTAGATTCATGCATGCAGATAAGAGATGTGCAGGCCGAATTATCCAAATGACAGGGTGCTAGATGGGTCTGAATATTAGCACAGAGCATAAGGAAAATAATCATTTACCAGTAGTGGAATTTTTTAAATTTCATTTCATGCAGTTATGTTGGAGTAGAATAGTTAAGGCAACATGAATAGATAGGAATAGATTTATTACCTACAACTCAAGCCAAAAGGAGAAGTAACAGTTCATCTATACCTGGGAGCTCATTGTCCAGCATGTCAGCTTTTATACATGTAATGCATTTACCCTTTACAACATCACATTTGTTAAACATGCTAGTTTCCAACTTCACTCTTGACCATAAGGAAATCTGCCCAGGGGTGAAACTTAAACTGTGTAAAAACAGTTTCACAACACAGAAATGGCCTCTGGGAGGGGATGCAGGCTGAGTATTAGTTCCTAATTACTATTTACCACATTTGCCTGTGGTTTTCTCATTAGTATCATTAATGTAAAGTGACAGTCTGAGGATCAGGATATTTGGATGTAGAGTATATGAAATACAGCTTTAATTATACACTTAAATTTTGGTATCATGAACTTTTTACTAAAAATAAAACTTTCATAATTTTTGTTTGCTACCCTTTGATATTTTTGTCTTCAAAGGATAGGCTAAAATGAAATTTCTTTTGAATTTATTGATGCAGTCAGCTGCATCAATTTTTACAATTAAAGCTAGTATTATTCCCTTTCTTCTACATTCAGAGGCCCCTCTTATCAATATTTCTTCTTGGTATGTCCCTATTTTTCTCATTTTTTTCTTCTGCAGTTACAATTTCTTTGTAAAATTTAGTCTATTAAAAATATTCCACCTTTTTTTATTGTTTCATATATTTTTCTATGTTATTACTTTCCTGCCAGGATATAATACCAAGAGAAAAGAAGAATAACAATGTCTTATAATTAAATGAAAACATAGTAAACTAATGAAAATAACACTGATTTGATCCCTTTTTTTGGTAGAGACACGTCATTAAGGAGACAACTACTATAGACAGAGATAATAATTATTTTGTTATAATAAATATCTGACATATTTTTCTTTCACTGTACCAAGTAGTAACACATTTACAAATACCATTTCTCAAAAGTAATCATCCTATCTCTAGCTTTAAATGGTTTTTTCATTTTAACAGCTGGGATCATCCAAACACCTGCTCTTGCTCCCACAAATTTTTCAGCTCACATTATTATATCTAAATTTCCTGTGTGAACATTAAAGGTTTTATATGATTGGGTAAGATAAGAAACTACCTGAGGATTGGATACTTTTTTTTTTTTGAGATGGAGTCTTGTTCTGTCTCCTAGGCTGGAGTGCAGTGACAATATCTTGGCTCACTGCAACCTCCGCCTCCCGGGTTCAAGCGATTCTCCTGCCTCAGCCTCCCAAGTTGCGGGGACTGCAGGTGCACGCCACCATGCCTGGTTAATTTTTGTATTTTTAGTAGAGACGGGGTTTCACCGTATTGGTCAGGCTGGTCTTGAACTCCTGACCTCGTGATCCACCTGTCTCGGCTTCCAAAGTGCTGGGATTACAGGTGTGAGCCACTGCACCCGGCCTTTTGTGTTTTTTTTTTTTTTTTTTGATTTCTAAAGTTATGAATTTGCACTGACCCAACAATTGTAGCTAAAATACTATGTAACTTTCCTGATGTCATATCAATATTTTCTTCATTAGTGATCACTCTAAATTATCTTAAAGTTAGACCTCAGGTATAGGGCACAAGTATATCAGAAAGATATATATCTACACTAAATACTTTCACTTTGTATTTTGTAGATATACCTTATATTCACAGAGTAAACAAATACTGTTTTGAATGTTCACTACTTTTATTCTCTTCACTCCAAAGATAATTAAACCACAGATTTATACTATTTATTACACATAGAATGGTCTGCATCTTGCCTTGAGTGCTATTTTTTGAAACATTTTGCCCTCTCTGTATAACAGTTTTTGAAATATAATGCACATATTGTAAAATGAATGTATTTAGAGTGCAATCCAGTGGTTCTTAGTGAACTTGTAAAGTTGTGCAACCATCTCTACTATCTTATTTTATAGGACTTCTCTGTCATCCCAGAAAGAAAGCTCATACCTGTTTAGTAGTCATTCCCCATTCCTGCTTCACCAGAACTGTCCCTCACAAACACTCTTCCATTTTCTGTACTTGAGCATTTGTCTATTCTGGACATTTTATATCAATGTAATCATATAATATGTTACTTTTTGTGCCTGATTTCTTCCAATTGCCATAAGGTTTTCAAGGTTCACCCATCTTGTAGCATGTATCAGTACTTCATTACTTCTTCTGGCTGGCTAATTTTCCATTGCATAGATACATAACATTTTGTGTATCTATTTCTCCAATGATGGCCATTTGAGTGGTTTCTATACCTGGGCTATTATAAATAATGTTGCTGTGTACATTTGTATATACATGTTTTTGTATGGACATATAGTTCTAATTTTCTTTAGTAAATACCTAGGACTGAAATTACTGGATCATATTACAACTGTATATTTATCATTTTGAAGAACTGCCAAACTGTTTTCTGAAGTGATGGCACCATTTTTGAATCTCATCAGTAATGTATGAAAGTTTCAATTTATTGCATATATCTGTATTTTACACTATTGTCTATTTTTTTATTTTACATATCTTCATAAGTATGAAACTTTTCTGAAGTGACTGCACCATTTTTCAATCCCATCAGTAATGTATGAAAGTTTCAATTTCTTGCATATATCTGTTTTACACTATTCTCTGTTTTTTTATTTTACATATCTTCATAAGTATGAGGTGATATTTTGTGGGTTTTTGATTTGCATTTGCCTAATGACTAATAATTTTAAGCATCTTTTCACCTACTTGTTGCTATTTGGGTAAAACTTCTTTTTTCGTTTCTTTCTTTTCTTTCTTTTTTTGAGATGGAGTCTCGCTCTTTCGCCCAGGCTGGAGTGCAGTGGCGCATCTCGGTTCACTGCAAGCTCCGCCTCTGGGGTTCATGCCATTCTCTCACCTCAGCCTCCTGAGTAGCGGGGACTACAGGCGCCCACCACCACGCCCGGCTAACTTTTTGTATTTTTAGTAGAATAGAGACCGTGTTTCACCGTGTTAGCCAGGATGGTCTCGATCTCCTGAACTCGTGATCCTCCCGCCTTGGCCTCCCAAAGTGCTGGGATTACAGGCGTGAGCCACCGTGCCCGGCCATAAAACTTCTTTAAATAAATGTCTATTTAAAAGAATAATTAGGTTATTTGATTTTTACTGTAAATTTCTAAGTGATTTTTATATATTTTATACAAAAATACCTTAAAAATGTGTAATTTGATTTTTTTTCCTTTCTTTGCATGTATTTTAATTTTTGATGGCCTCTTTTGGAAAAGAAAAGTGTTGAAATTTGATGAAATCCAATTCATCATTGTTTTTCTTTTGTTGCTTGTGGTTTTGGTGTCATATTAAAGAAGCCATTTCCAAACCCAATGTCTCAAATATTTACCCCATTTGAACTAAGTTCTTTATCATTTTATCATTTATATTTTGGCTTATAGTTTATTTTGAGTTAATTTTTGTGTATTGCATGAAAATGTCAACTGCATTTATTTGTGCATGGATATTCAGTTGTCCTAGCACCATTTGTTCAAAACACTATTATTGTTTCATTGAATTTTTTGCACCTTCATCAAAGTTGAATTGACCATATTTAGGCATTTATCTATGGACTTACAAGTCTGTTCTCTTTATCTGTATGTTAAGCCTAACACATTACCACCATCTTGGTTAGTGAGCTTTTTATATGTTTTGAAATCAGTGAGCGTGAATACTCTAACATTGTTCTTCGTATTTAAGGCTGTTTTGGCTACTCTGTGACCCTTGAATTTCTGTATGAAATTTAGGATAAGGTATAAAATTCGAAAAGCAAACTGTTGGGATTTTAATAGATTGTGTTTAGATGGTAGATCAATTTTCAGAGTATTGCCATCTTAAAAGTATTATTTCCAAGCATTAAGTATGGGAGTTCCTACATTAACTTAGGTTTATTATGTTTCAACAATGTTTAATAATATTCAGTGTACAAGTTTTCTACCAGTTTTGTTGATTTTTTTTCTAAATGAGTCATTCTTTTTGATTTTATTATAAATGGAACTAATTTCTTAATTTCATTTTCTGATTGGGCATTTTTAGTGTATAGAAATATAATTGAATTCTGTACATCAATCTATAATTGTATCAAACTGATTCATTCTAAGGGTATTATTTTAGTGAATTCCTTAGGATTTTCTATGTGCAAGATCATGACACCTATGAATACAGATAGTTTGTCTTCTTTCTTTCCAATGTCGGTCCAGTTTTTTATTATTACCCAAGTGCTCTGGCTAGAACCTCAACTTCAATAGTGAATATAAGTATCAAGAGCAGCTATCCTTGTGTTTTTCCTGATCTTTGAGGGAAAGCATTCCTTTATCACCATCAAGTATGTTTGTTGTTGGTTTTTCATAGATACCTTTTATGAGGTTGAACAAGCTCTTTTCTATTCTGAATTATCTGTGTTCTTTAATCATACACATTGGTTTAACATGTTAAATGCTTTGTTCTCTACCCTTTGAGATCATGTATTTTTTATTCTTTATTCTATTAATGTGGCACATTAAACTGATTTGTTTTTGTATGTTAAACAAATCTTGGGATAAATCCCACCTGGAACTAATGTATAAATACTTCTCATATATTGCAGGATCCAGCTGCTAGCATTTTTTGAGGATTTTTGCATCTTTATTTATAAGGGATACATGTCTGCAGTCTTATTTTCTCACAATATTTTGGTCACATTTGGAATTTAATATATTGATCTCATAGAATTAATATGGAGGTGTTTTCTCATTCTGTGTTTTGGAAGAGTTTTCTAAGGATTAATGTTAATTTGCCCTTAAATGCTTGACAGAATTCATCAATTAAGTCACCTGGGCCTGGGATTTTTTTCGTGGAAAATTTTACGTTACTGATTCAATCTCTTCACTTTTTATATTTCTATTCATTTTTTAAAATTTCTTCTTGAGTCAGTTTTTAATCTTATGTCTTTATAGGGATATATCCATTTCATCTGATTCACTTGTTTATTGGTATAAATTTCTTTATTGCATTCCTAAAAATAATTTCTCCTTCTTTAGGTGCAAAATAATGCCACTGTTTCATTCCTTATTTTCATAATTCATGTACTAGTCTTCGCTTTTCCTTAAGTGAAGTACAAGGTTATCCAGAGGTAAGATATTAGGACATTTTCAGCTCTTTATCATGCACACATCCCTGCACATAGAGGTGGCCTTCAAAATTCCCCAGAATAGATTGGAGGTTTGTAAATCTCCCTGTGGTTTTATATATATAATTTTTTTTTGAGACAGAGTCTTGGTCTGTTGCCCAGGGTGGAGTTCAGTGGCATAATCTAGAATCACTGCAACCTCTGCCTCCCAGGTTCAAGGATTCTTGTGTCTCAGCCTCCCGAGTAGCTGGGACTACAGGCATATGCCACCATCTCCAGCAAATTTTTGTATTTTTAGTAGAGGTGGGGTTTTACCGTGTTGGCCAAGGTGGTCTGGAACTCCTACCTCAAGTGATACACTCATCCCAGCCTTCCAAAGTGCTGGGATTACAGGCATAAGCCACCCCTCGCTGCCTGTGTGGGTATCTTATTCCCTTGTTTTTCCTTTTAAAACTTTTAATAGCCATTTGTGAGACTGAAGTCGTATTGACCTCTCAGACAACTTTGAGGGTTAAACAACTACTACAGATTGTATTTGATAAATGCCGTATATATAAGTGTATTCACATAGAAAAAGCTTTAGTTAGATTTAATAAAGATAAGGCCTGGGAAAGGAGCTTCACAGACAGTTTCCAGACAGATAAGATAATCTCATATTGTCTTTCTATTTTCTTATATGCCTAAAAAATCCTAAAGATTTATTCAAAAAACTCCTGGAACTGATAAATGAATTCAGCAAATTTTCAGGATACAAAATTCACGTACACAAATCGGTAGCCCTGCTATACACCAACAGTGACCAAGCTAAGAGTCAAATCAATAACTCAAACCATTTTACAATAGCTGCAAAATAAATAAAATAAAATACTTAGGAATATATTTAACCAAGGAGGTAAAGACCTGTACAAGGAAAACTACAAAACATTGCTGAAAGAAATCATAGATGACACAAACAAATGGAAACACATCCCATGCTCATGGATGGGCAGACTCAATATTGTGAAAATGACCATTTGTAGATTGCTGCCAAAAGCAACCTACAAATTCATTGCAATTCTCATAAAAATACCACCAACATTCTTCACAAAACTAGAAAAAGCAATCCTAAAATGCATATTGAACCAAAAAAGAGCCTGCATACCCAAAGCAAGACTAAGCAAAAATAACAAATCCTGAAGCATTACATTACCCAACTTCAAACGATACCATAAGGCCATAGTCACCAAAACAGCATGGGACTGGTATAAAAGCAGGCATATAGACCAATGGAATAGAATAGAGAACCCTGAAATAAAGCCAATACTTATAGTCAGCTGATCTTCGACAAAGCAAACAAAAACATACAGTGGGGAAAGGACAATTTATTCAACAAATGGTCCTGGAATAATTGGCAAGCCGCATATCGAAGAATGAAACTGGATCCTCATCTCTCACCTTATATAAAAAATAACCCAAGATGGATCAAAGACTTATATCTAAGACATGAAACCATAAAAATTCTAGAATATAACATTGGAAAAACCCTTCTAGACATTGGCTTAGGCAAAAATTTCATGACCAAGAACCCAAAAGCAAATGCAACAAACACAAAGATAAATAGATGGAACTTAACAAACTAAAAAGCTTTTTCACAGCAAAATAAATGACTAGCAAATTAAACAGACAACCCACAGAGTGGGAGAAAATCATCACAATCTATACATCCAACAAAGGACTAATATCCAGAATGTACAAGGAACTCAAACAAATCAGCAAGGAAAAAAAACAATCCCATAAAAAAGTAGGCTAAGGACATTAATAGACAATTCTCAAAAGGAGATATAAAGACGACCAACAAACATATGAAAAATGCTTAACATCACTAATTATCAGGGAAATAAAAATCAAAACCACAATGTGATATCACCTTACCCCTGCAAGAATGGCCGTATTTAAAAAATCAAAAAAAAATAGATGTTGGCATGGATGTGGTGAAAGGGGAAAACTTTTACACTGTTGGTAGGAATGTATACTAGTACAATCACTATGAAAAACAGTGTGGAGATTTCTTAAAGAAGTAAAAGTAGATCTACCATTTGATCCTGCAGTCCCACTCCTGGGTATCTACACAGAGGAACGGAAGTCTTTATATGAAAAATATACTTGCACACACATGTTGAAAACAGCACAATTTTCAATTGCAAAAAATATGGAACCAGCCCAAATGTCCATCAATCAACTAGTGGATAAAGAAAATGGAATATATATATATACCATGGAATACTATTCAGCCATAAAAAAGAATGAAATAATGGCACTTGCAGCAATATAGATGGAACTGGAGACCATTATTCTAAGTGAAGTAACTCAGCAATGACAAAACAAACATTGTATGTTCTCACTTATAAGTGGTAGCTAAATTATGAGGATGCAAAGGCATAAGAATGATACAATGGACTTTGGGGGCCGGGGATGGGAGGGGGATGAGGGTTAATAGACTACACATTGGGTACAGTACACTGCTTGGGTGATGGGTGCACCAAAATCTCAGAAATCACCATGAAAGAACTTATTCATGTAACCAAACACCACCTGTTCCCCAAAAAACTACTAAAATAAATATGTATATATTTATATATTAAAACAATTCTTTCAGCAATGTTTTGTAGAATAACTTATATGTATTAGGTGGGTTTTGGTGCAATTTTAATTTATATCATGTTAACATTTCCATTTTTTAACTCATATTACCAGTATATTTAAAAATTGATTTCTGTATGTTTATCTTATATTTAACTCCCGTGCTGAATCACTAATTGGTTGATTAACAATTATCAATATTAATAAAAAATAATGATAATGTCACGGGATCCTTGGAGTGTTGCTTTGCTAGCCGGGAAACTCTATAGCTGGCGACACCTTCTGCCTGAGTATTGCTTGTGCCCACTGGGCTTGTTCTGCCCACTCAGCCTGGCAAGTTGTGCTCAGCTCACATTACCCACCAGCATCCCACATCTGCCTAGGGTGAGCCAGGCATGGAGCAATGAGGGGTGTGTGGGTGAGGGAGTGCGGGGTCTGGCTACTAGGCACAGCCATTCACAAAGGCTGCTGTGACGGGGCGGGCAGCTTGGGGCTCTGGCACAGGTGCTGGCTCCCTGTGAGACTGCAACTCCGCCAGATGTACCGCACTCAGTTTCCTCTGTGCTCCCCTGAGTCTGGACAAAGGGAACGCCTTGCTGCCCAGAAGCTTGGAGATGCCAGGAACCGCAGAGCCCGAAAGAGGGTGTTACAGCCCTGGCTCGGGGATCTCCTAGGTCTGGGACTCCTTATGGTGGCCCACAACGTGGCAAGTGGCAGGGGAGGTGGGGAGCTGAGCTTGTTTGTGCTCAAAGCTTCACAGGCAGCCAAGTAGCGGGGGCCGCGGGTAGGGGGAGGGGCTCTGATGTCCCTGCTGCCCCAAACATTTGCACACCCCGCTGGGTTGCGACAAATATCCAGGCTTGACTACAACTTTGCTACAAAATTGGAGTGGGCGCGGGGGAGTGGGGAGAGGCCAGGGAGTGGGAGCAGGCACTTCCAAGCCTACAGGGGCAGAGGTGGCTTCCTGCGCAATGAGAGCTCAAGGTTGCCCAGGTACAGCGCCCTAGCCATGTGGCTGCAGCTGTGTCTGGGAGTGCGGAGCTCCTGCCCTTTTAACTCAGTAGGGGGCGGTGCTCCTGTCTGTGCCTGGCTCTGGTGGGGTCTGTGGAGTGTGCAGACCCAGCTGCACCTCACCTGCTGCAGCCCTGCTGCGTCTTCGCAGAGGCTGCTCCAGACCATCGCTGCCATCGATAATTCTCTGGAGATTGGGTTAATGGGGGGGCTCCAAAATGGACCTATGCTAGTTGCTTTGAGTAGCTATTTTTCAAAACTAGTATAGTCATGAAACAGTTGGTTTCAAAGCCAGGAAGGAGCAGGGAAGGGATGTATAGAAAGAGAGTAAAATGCTAGCGAACTTTCTGTTTTCACCGGGTTTCAACCATTTTTGTTACATACATGTCTTCAGATTTTTTCAAATATTTGGCCAATTTCTCAAATTCTACAAGTGTTAATTTTGACAGTTTTTACCAGTGTTCTTGTTCTTGTTGCTTTCATGGAGGCATAGCCTTTCCGTTTTTACTCCATAACTCTGGTAGTGCTTAACTCTGGTAGCAATATTCATTTAAGCTTAGCTTTACATACACTAATAGTTCAATCTGAAAGTCGTTATATCTCATAAAACCCAACAGACATATCACAGCACTGGCAACTTTTTCTCCAAATGGTTCTCCCATAACTTGTTATCAGAGGAATCATTGAGTAAAAAGTTTGCAAAGAGACAACAAAATAAAGACAACACATATTGCTAATAATTACTTCATGCTTTTTATGTATCTGCATGAATTGTTAACTCTTTTATAAACTAGCATTCATTATATTTTCACATAATTTTCAGAAGACTCTATCCTTGACCACACTTTAGTTAGGCTCATCTAAGCCTTCTAGGCCTTGACATTGGCATCTTACCTTATCAGTTTTACATTTTCCATTTCTTTTTTAAAAATATATTTCCAACTTTTAGTTTAAGTTCAGGGGTACATGTGCAGGATGTGCAGGTTTGCTACATAGTTATATGTGTGCCATTGTGATTACCTGCACAGATCATCCCATCACCTAGGTATTAAGCCCAGCATCCATTAGCTATTCTTCCTGATGCTCTGCCTCCTCCCACCCTCCAGCCTCTGACAGCCCTGGTGTGTGTCGTTCCCCCTCCCCGACCCCGTGTTCACATGTTCTCATCATTCAACTCCCACTTATAAGTGAGAACATGTGGTATTTGATTTTCTGTTCTTGCATTTGTTTGCTGAGGATAATGGCTTCCAGCTCCATCCAGGTCCCTGCAAAGGACAGGATCTCATTCCTTTTTATGGCTGCATAGTGTAACATGGGGTACATTTTCCATTTCTAGTAAGAATCTTGCTGTCAGTTTAGAGAGAACCACCCACATTTACTATCTGATCACTTTTGATAGCTGATAGAATTCCCCCTCCCTCACCATTCTTCAGGTGAAATTTGATCACCCTGGCCTGCCTTCAGGACAAATCCTGTCAAATAAATCTTTCCTTACCTTTAATGTTTCCTCTTGGCTATTTTCCATCAGCAGACCTCCAGCCTGGTCCTTGGCTATAAATCCCAGCTTGTCCATGCTGTCTTCAGGAACTGATCACAGCTCTATGCTGAGGTCCCTTTTCCCCTATTGCAATATTTTCTGTAAAAAAAACATTTTATATTGTTTGAACTAATGTCCAATTGTGTTTTTTTCTTAACAGTTCTTTAAAATATTTCCATTATTCCCTTTCTAAAATAATAAATTATACATGTATATTTAAAAAACAAAAATATACAGATTTTATTTTTTCTTTACTGATGCATTATTATTTCAACTTTGTCATTTATCAGGATTCAAATATAGTATTCACATCTTTGGATTAAACCATTTTCAGTAGGTTCTATTGAAAACTCATATTTACACTGAAACCATCTCTTTAGCATACCTGTATAACCTAATTTATAGCATCATAATTGTCTTAATGCCCTAAAAAACACATATTTTCAAGTAAAGTGAAGTGATCATTTTTTTTTTTACATGAACAAATTTCCACTCTTTGGCCATTGATGTATTTCCATTACCCTTCTCAGCCCACACTTAAGTATTAACTATATTAAGTTGCTTTCTAACAGAGCTTGTTTTTAAAACTTTCTTACTACACAATAGAGAATGGCTTATGCTACAAAGAACACTTGTTCCAGTTAATAAAGAAGTGTAATAGAAACTCAAATCTGAGAGATAAGCCTGTAGGTGACATAATTGTAAATGCATCATGAAAAGTAAGACAATAGTGAAAAAGCCACTGATATTACTGTTATAAGAGTAAAATTTTGTTTTAAGGGGGAAAGAAACTATATATAGGTATTTCTAATTGGCTCCTATTCTTACTATTCTATTATGTAATGCTATTATAATTGGTTTATAAAAGATATTACAGAAGAAAAATTTAAAAAAGAAGAAAAGTAATATGATCTCCTTATAATTCCAGGTAAACAAAGTTTATTATATTTAAAACCCATCATTCATGATTGTAATTATTAGAACACTCCTAAAGCTGATAATGTATATCAAAAAAATTCATTTCATAATATTTATATTTATTGATGAAATATTTAAAGCTATTATTTTGCAAATCAGGAAAAACAAATTCTTATAACTATCATCTTCAATATTTTACTGCAGATTATAACCAATAAAATAAGCCAAATAAAAACTTAATACAAATTATACAGATTGGAAACACATATATATCTCCTAATAGGAGATATTTTTCTATTACATGTATGCCCTATTATTTACAACTAATATAATTATATGCATAGAAAATTATAAATAAATAAATAAAACTCTCAGATAAATAAATTTTAAGAATCAGTTAAAAATCAAGTACTTTTCATTTTTGCTGTTTATATCTTGAATGAATCTGGAATTAATTTTAACATCTTGTTTTTTCACAAAACAAGTTGACACATTCTAGAAGATAGATTTCAATAATTAAGTGTACTAGCAAACATTTATAAATATTAGTCTTCATTAATTTTGATTCAAAAACCTGAAATATAAATTTTCTCTATAAGAAGATTAACAAGTGTCAAAGGAAAACAAAAAGTACAAATTTGGATAAAGAGAATAATTTCACAATATTTTAGTGAAATTGTGTTTGCATAAGCCCAATGACATAGTAATTAAAAGAAGACTTAGTTATGAAGATCCTGTGCAAACATTGCCAGTTACATTTGCAATTAAATTGGAAAGGAATAAAATAATTTTTTAAGTTGCAATAATTATTGGTTAAGTTGAAAGAAGCCATACCAAAGAGACTAGATACCATATGAATCTTTATGCAATTTCTGAAAAAGGCAAATGGGAGAAAGTAAATTAGTGGTTTCTTGAGGTAATTATGCGAATGAGCATTATTAGTAAATGAACATGAGAGATTTTACTGACAATGTGAAAATTCATTAAAACTGAATTTTGATTGCAGAACTTGGTAAATTTACTTTAAAAATGATTGAATTGTACCCTTGAAATTGTTTAGTTATATGATATATGAATTTTGCTTTAATAAAATTGTTAAAAACTTTAACCAATATTATCATCATTGTGCTAAGGATTATTTACTTTGCTTAAACTTAGTTAATTTAAATGTTAATTGAGCAAATAATTTCCTTGGAATCACAATCTTGAAAGTTTTAATTTGTTTTTTATTTTTAATAAGTGTAACTCTGGACATGGCATAGGTAGATCACACATATCAGTTTTCCGGCTTCATTCAGAAATATACAATGTGAAAGTAATACATAAAAATATGTTCCATGGGAGTTAAAATAATTTGAATGCTTTCATTTTCTTTTTATTTTATGTATTTAAAGACAGAGTCTTGCTCTGTTGCCCAGGCTGGAGTACAGTGGTGCTCACCTCAGCCACAAACTCCTGGGCTCAAATCATCCCACTTCAGCTTCCCAAGTAGCTGGGACTACAGGCACATGCCACCACACCCAGCTATTTTTAAAAATATCTTTTTGTGGAGACAGAGTCTCACTTTTTTGCTGAGGTTGGTCTCAAACTCCTGGCTTCAAACAATCCTCCCACCTTGACCTCCAAAGTGCTGGGAATACAGGTGTGAGCCACCACGCCTGGCTAGAAATGAAATGTTTGCAAAGTAGAAGAACTATCAGTAGATAAGAGAGAGTAAAACTTTAATGTAATTGAAGCAAGACTATTCATTTTATAATACTGCCGTTTGCAGAAAAATGTGTAAATTTCAGTAGTGCTAAACTTTCTCTAGAGCAATATACCTAAGAAATACACCACACATATATATTTTTGAACAGGTTTTACAAGTAAGAAAAATTCTTCTAGCATACTAATAATCTATTTCTCATATAGAGTTTTAGATGGGTGACAATATGGTTCCAAGACAACAGAAATGTAATATTTTAGGTAAGTCTAAAAATGGCTAGAAAAAAACTAAAATTACACCTTATAAAATCTAAATAATAAA